>NC_000023.11:76704966-77007996 GCF_000001405.40 Homo sapiens
CCATTCTAAAATTTGTATGGAACCAGGAAAGACCCCAAATAGCCAAAGCAATGTTAAGCAAAAAGAAAAAAAGCTAGATGCATCACACTATCTCACTTCATAATATCTTACTACACAATAGTAAGCAAATAGCATGGTATTGATATAAAAGCAGACACATAGTTCAATGGAAAAGAATAGAGAACCCAGAAATTAATCCACACATTTATGGCCAGCTCATTTTCAACAAAGGTGCCAAGAACATACATTGGGGAAAGAATACCCTCTTCAATAAATGGTGCTAGGAAAACTGGATATTCATATGCACAATAATGCAACTAGATCATTGTCTCCTACCAAAATCAACTTAAAATAGATAAAAGACTAAAACGTAAAACCCAAAACTATACAACTACTAGAAGAAACCTTTGAAGAAAGGCTTCTTGATGTTGGTCTAGGCAAATATTTTATGGGTAAGTTTTCAAAAACACAGGCAACAAAAACAAAAATATGTAAATGAGACTATATCAAAATAAAAACCTTCTGTACAGCAAAGAAAACAATAAACAGAGTGAAGAGACAACCTGTAAAATGGGAGAAGATATTTGCAAACTATTCATCCAACAGGGACCTAATAGCCAAGCTATACAAAAAACTCAAACAACTGAACAGCTAAAACATAAACAATGGCCAAAATATCTGAATATACATTTTTTCTTAAAAATATAAACAAATGGCCAAATGTATGTAAAATGATCAACATCACTAATCATCAGGAAAATGCAAATCAAAACTACAATGACATGTCATCTCATCCGACTTAGAATGACTATTATCAAAAGCACAAAAACTTACAAATGCTGGGGAAGATGCATAAAAAAGAAAACTCATACACTGTTTGTGGTTGTATTAGACAATTATGGGTTGCTATGAAGGCATACCTGAGACTGGATAACTTATAAAGAAAATCATTTGGCTTATAGTTCTGCAGGTTGTACAAGCATGGAACCAGCATATGAAGCTTCTGGTGAGACCTCAGGGAGCTTTTAGTCATAGAAGAAGGTGGACAGGGAGCCAGCATGCCACACGGTGAAAAAGGGAGCAAGACAAATGCCAGCCTTTTTTTTTTTTTGAGATGGAGTCTCTCTCTGTCGCCAGGCTGCAGTGCAGTGGCATGATCCCATTTCACTGCAATCTCCACCTCCCGGGTTCAAGCAATTCTCCTGCCTCAGCCTCCCAAGTGGCTGGGACTACAGGCATGCACCACCACGCCCAGCTAATTTTTTTTGTATTTTAGTAGAGATGGGGTTTCACCATGTTGGCCCAGATGGTCTGGATCTCCTGACCTCGTGATCTTCCCCCCTGAGCCTCCCAAAGTGCTGGGATTACAAGCGTGAGCCACCGCGCCCGGCCATGCCAGCCTCCTTTAAACAACCAGCTGTCATGTCAACTGATAGAGTGAGAACCCACTCATTAGCATGAGGACAGCACCAAGGCATTCATGAGGGATACACCCCCAAGACAAAATCACCCCCTGCCAGACCACATCTCCAACATTGGGGATCACATTTTAACATGAGATTTGGAGGGGATAAACATCCAAACTGTATCAGTGAGAATGTGACTTAATCCAGCTATTGTGAAAAATAGTATAGAAGTTTTTCAAAAAACTAAAATATAAGTACCTTACAGCCCAGCAATTCCACTGCTGGGTATTTATTCAAAGGAAAGGAAATCAGTATATGCTTATTGCAGTTTATTCACAATAGGCAAGATATAGGCTCAATATATATCTATTAAATGATGAATTGATAAAGAAAACATGGTATGTATACACAATGAAATATTATTCACCCATAAAAAGGATAAAATCCTGTCATTCAGAGCAACATACATAAATCTGTAAGACATTATGTTAAATGATAATTATAAATGCCTATCAATGATGGACTAGATTAAAAAAAAAGTGGTACGTATACACCATGGAATATTATGCAGCCAAAAAAGAAAAAGATCAATTCCTTTGCAGGGACATGGGTGGAACTGGAGGACATTATCCTCAGCAAACTAACACAGGAAGAGAAAACCAAATACTGCATGTTCTCACTTATAAGTGGGAACTAAATGGTGAGAACACATGGGCACATAAGGGAGAACAATACACACTGGAAGCTTTTGGAAGTTGGAGGGTGAGAGGAGGGAGATAATCAGAAAGAATAACTAATGGGTACTAGGCTTAATACCTAGGTAATGAAATAATCTGTATAACAAACCCCCATGACACAAGTTTACCTGTATAACAAACCTGCACTTGTATCCCTGAACTTAAAATAAAAGTTAAAAAAAAGAATTATAAATACCACATATTCTCACTCATATGTGGAAGCTAAAAAGTATTGAGCTCATAGTAGAGAGGAGAATTGTTCTTAGAGCCTAGAAATAATCGAGAAAGGAAAGGATAGGGAGAGGTTGATTAACATATACAAAGTTACTGCTAAATGGGAAGAATAAGTTGTAATGTTCTGTAGCACTGTGAGGTAAATATAGTTAACCAAAATTTAGTGTATGTTTTCATAAAGCTAGAAGAGGGTATTTTCAATGTTCACAACAGAAAGAAATGATAAATATTCAAGGTGATGGATATGCTAATTATCCTGATTTGATCCTTACACATTATATATTACACATGTATCAAAATCTCACTCTGTATCCCATAAATAGGCACTGTTGTTAGATGTCAACTAAAAATAAAAGGAAAATATTGTATGACATTGTATTGCTTTATTTGCTTTATTGCTTTGGTCTGGAACTGAACCCACAATTCTTAGAGGCATGTTTTTATCAGCTACCAGGTGCTTGGCACCTGGGGCTGGCATAGCTAATCAGAAAATTCAATCCATTCTAGGAGAGCTGAGGGAGTTTGCTTGGGATTTTTTCCCCCTGATTTAATACCCTAAAAGTTGTCAAAAAGTTACCATTCTGTCTCCAACTCCACCAGTTATAATGATCCACCTGGTCTTCCATCACTCTTCAATGTCCAGGTCATGAATTTCCAATCATTTAGCCATAGCCAGATAACCATCTCAGACAGAGATGGAAGAATAGCTATTAAAGGAAGTATAGGATGCCACTAGTGCCATAGCCAATTGTGACACCTGGGATGAGTTTAACCTAGAAGAGTAACCATGGGACTCCAAATATCACTTAAATAATGGCCCAGAATGCATCAGAGCATTCCAACATGCAAATGAATACCAAATCACTTCAGTCCCTGGTCCACTTCTCAGTTCCAGCTCTAACTCAGTCTTCCTGTGCTTTTAATTGGTGCAGAACCCATCACTCCTAGATCATAGCTGATATATATTCAGAGCTTCTATTACTAAGTACAGGTTCTCCTTGACATATAATGGGTTTATGTCCTGCTAAACCCATTGTATATGCCCATTGTAAGCTAAAAGTATTATGTCAAAAAATCATTTGCTAAACCAAACCGATCAAATATCATAGCTTAGCCTAGCCTATCTTAAATGTACTCAGAACACTTACATTAGCCTACACTTGGAGAAAATCATCCAAAACAAAATGTATTTTGAAATAGAGTGTTAAATATCTCATATAATTTATTGAATACTCTGCTGAAAGTAAGAAACAGAATGGTTGTATGAGTACTCAAAGTACAGTTTCTACTGAATGTGTATCACTTTCATACTATTGTAAAGTAAAAAAAAATCATAAATCAAATCACTGTAAGTCACGGGCCATCTACATATTTTGGGAAAGTCTCTTCATTTCTTCATATCATACTTGCCTGAAAAGTAGGCCATTATTTATTAAACTCCTATCTTCCTTCCTATTATTCCTTCAAATAAGCTCACTGATTTCTTTGTGTTTTAGGTATATTAACCATTGACAAATAGATGAAGGAAACAAAAATAGCAAATATGGGCATTGAGAAAAGTTTAAGATTCTGACAAAATTACAGATATGCTAGTTTAGTCCTTCTGAATGCTTTTCTATCAATGCCATTTAAAACTTCATTGTACATTTATTTTTTTCCCTCAAACCTTCACCCCATCTCAAATACTCATTTTCTCTCTAGATTATATAGACTATTTTTTCATGAAGATCCACCTTTCTAGACATTAAGTCTGAGGACACAGTAAAGTATAATGATTTAAAAGACATGTTTACAGACTGATCTCAAATTCCAGCTCAGTCATTTAATGTCTATGTGGATTTGCACAATACACTTCTCAATTTGTGTACCAGTAAAACACAGAGGGTAAACTATACTACTTTTACATTTTTTTACATGTGTTAAATTTGGCAGTGTGAACTGGTATCATCAATAAAGTCTGAAATGTCAGAAATGGAGAGTGAAATAGTCCACAAAAGCCTAAAAAAAAGTTTTGGAGAAAATAAAAAACTCTTCATTACATTACCCATATCATCGGACATCTAAAGCCTTCTTGATTTGCTTCTCCCATTATTATTCTATTTATTTCAAATGTTGTATTTCTGAACAAATATGTAAATATAAGAATGCTAAAGATAATCAATACAAAAACTGAGAGCTAGCACAGCCCCTATCATGGAAGGAAAGAACAGTGCTGCCGCAGATGAAGGCTGAAAAGAGTCTTCAAGTTTCAAAGTCTGGCTTCAGTTTCTCCAAGAATTTATAAATTCTTTCTAGGCAAAGTTTTGAGTGAGTCCCAGGAAACAGGCTCATCGAAGTGAGGATATATGCCAGAGCAGTAATGTGGGTCTGGTACTGGACATCTGACAAATATGATGGAGGGGTGGGCTAATCTATATTTTTTTCAGTCTAAAACCACCATGGTCAATCTACCTCTCTCAGGAGCAGATCAAAGCAAAACACTTTACTTGAGATGCATTAGTCAGGGTAGACCAGTGACTGCAATAAACAAAATTTTGATAGTTTATCACGATAAAATTTTATTTTAAACACATCACAGTACAATGTGTGGAGGCAGGGTGAGCATTCTCTGCCACCATCCTTAGTTGATTTATAGAACATAAAAGGGAAAATAGGAACTTCATCAACACATGATCTAGGAAAACCAAGTACCTCAGAAGAATCTGAGCCAGACCCTCCAATGAATTTTGTCCTCAGATTATAAAAATAAATAATATCATCCCAGCAGGAATCTTGTTAATGTCTGTTCTGAACCACATTGTGCCAGTCTAAATTGGTTGCCTTCAATACTCAGTGCAAAGCAAAGATCTCCCTTTACCATTTTCCTGGGGATTCCTTCTGACTCTTTCATGCATTAGATTCTAGTTTCCTGCATCCTATGCTTTTCTATTTTATTATTTACTACCTAATTTTGGTAGAGTACAACTTCTAGTTTCTACGTGAAAAATGGTACACAGTAGGTGAAGTTTTTAAAACTTCATGTATGAGTTTGCTAGGGCTGCCATAATAAAGTACCACAAACTGAGTGGCTTAAACAACATACATTATTGTCTCACAGTTATAGAGGCTAGGAGTTCAAAATCAAGGGGTTGGCAGGTTTTGTTCCTTCTGAGGGTTGTGATGGAGAAACTGTTTGATATCTCTCTTCTATCTTCTGGTGGGTTGCTTAAAATCCTTTGCATTCCTTGGCTTGTAGACACACCATTCCAGTCTCTACTTTTATCTTTGCATGGCAGTCTCAATATGTGTGTGTCTATATAAATTTTCCCTTTTAATAAGGATCCCAGTCATATTAGA
Organism: Homo sapiens; assembly: GCF_000001405.40. Taxonomy (NCBI): domain Eukaryota; kingdom Metazoa; phylum Chordata; class Mammalia; order Primates; family Hominidae; genus Homo; species Homo sapiens. The sequence continues at coordinate 76,710,680 of NC_000023.11, forward strand.
TTAAGGGTCCACCCTACTTCAGTATGACCTCATTTTAACTAACTACAGCTGCAACAACCCTACTTCCAAATAAGGTCATGTCCTAAGATACTGGGATTCAGGACTTCAACAGGTGAATTTTAGGGAGACACAATTCAATGCATAGCAAGTCAGATGTATGAAAATATTTTCATTCCAAACTAAAATTTGACTGGTCATAAAATTCAATGTCAGAAATAAATTTTCTTCAGATTTGGAAAATATTGCCTCATTGTTGTCTAGCTTGCTTGCTCAGTAAACTTCTTGCTTATTGAGAAATCTAATAATTTGGCACTCATGAGTGGTTTTCTCCAGCTCAAATTGTGGCAGATTGCAGAAGTCCAAAAGAGGTAAGCGTGTGGGTTCAAAAAGCAACGTGCCTGTCAATTTTTCTTCATATTCTTAGTGTTTCAAGTTCCAATAGAACAAGGGGAGTTTGGGTTGGGTGTGGGAGAAATGAGTGTGCAAGTTGGGTAAGGTGAAACTTCTGAGTAAAGATAGCAGATTGAACACATTCTAATTAGTGATTTTTAAATATATAACCTGTTTATATCTTTCTGGAAGCTTTTATATATTTTCTTTGCTGTAAGCACTCTGAAGTCCTATAAGAACATTACTTGGTGTGGATCTATTTTTGTCCATTTTCCTAGGCACTCTGTAGGCTTTCTCAGTCTAGAAACTTACACGTTTTAGTCCTGAGTTTTTTTTTAAGTTTTTTTGATAATTGAATCATTTCTCTGTTTTCATTTTCACAGTTTTTTTCCTCTGTAACTCCTATTATAAGAATGTTGTATCTTCTGAATTTTTCTTTAATTTTGCCCATCTTTTCTCTCCTGTATCCTATTTTCTGTTGTTTTCTTCCATTTCCTGGGAGATTTCTTCAACCATCTTCAAAAATTTGTATCAAGTTTTAAAATTTTTACTGTTTTTAAGTTCCAAGAGTCTTTTTTGTTCTCTGAATATTCCATTTTTTTAATATCCTGTTCTTATCTGTTCATAATTCTCCCTACATAATCTCTGTTTGCTTTAAATTGCATTTTCCATTAGTCTCCTTGGTTGTCTTACAGTTTTTAGTTGACTGCTCTTGCCTTTAAGCTAAGAATCTCTGAGTTTTCATTAAGAACTTATTGACTGTGGACTTCATTTTAAGCTGTTAGTATGATTATATCTTTCTTTTAAAGATGGTCAGATGGCACCCACATTACATTTCCAGCTTCCCAGCTGAAAGGCATAGGCCTATGTGCTAGCTTTCTGGGAACCCAGAAAAGGAAGAAGACTTGAAGGAGGTAGTCTCAGATGGCTTCAACGTTCCTGTCCTTAACGATGCCTGTTTTCCTTCAGTCAAGTTACTTTTTGCTTTACCTTCTCCAGTAAATAAATGCTTAGATTTCTGCCAAGGTGGAAAAATAAGGTAGCCCAGCAACATGGATCTGGGGGTGCAGGAGGGAAGAATCTAGGATCCAAACCTGCTTGCTAAAAATCCTTCAACCAATAATTTTTATTTCAACCTCCTTTATAGTAGATATTAGGGCAATATAACAATAATCCAGTTTTTCTTATTAGAAGCATATGGTAGGATTTCACTTTTGCATTCCCTTTGGATGTTAAGTACACCATGTGACTTGTTTTGACTATTAAATGTGAGCAGATGACAAGTGACATTTCTAGGCAGAAGGTTTAAAAGTGAGTGTGTGATTTTCCATGTTATTTTTTCTCCACTATGGTAGTCACAGAAGTATGTTTTAATATGGATCCACCATAAGCCTGACTGTGTATGTTTTACATTAGATAACTAGTATGAGCAATAGATATATCTTTTTGTTTTAAGCCTGAGATTCTGGGATTGTTTGTTACTACAGTAAAACTTAGCCTATTGTAACTGACTCCCTTTAATCTTTACTTTTGATTTAACTATTGTCATATCACCATTCCTGAGCTTTTTGAGGGTAAGTATAAAATGTGTTCTCAGCTCTTCTCTATTTCTAATACCCCTGTATTGTGTTTTCTTAGGCATATTTATTTGGTTGTAATGTATCCATCTGCACTCTGGCTGACAAAATTTAGTGACTTCTCTCTCTATTTTTATTCCTCCCCTGCTTGTAGGTTTTTTTCCTTCAAAAGTATTACATTTCTCCAATATTATTGAGGTTTCAAGAGATAATGAAATTAGATGTGTGTGTGTTCAATCTGCTATCTTTACTCAGAAGTTTCACCTTACCCAACTTGCACACTCATTTCTCCCACACCCACCCCAAACTCCCCTTGTTCTATTGGAACTTGAAACACTAAGAATATGAAGAAAAATTGACAGACACGTTGCTTTTTGAAACCACACCTTTACCTCTTTTGGACTTCTGCCATCTGCCACAATTTGAGCTGGAGAAAACCACTCCTGAGTGCCAAAGGTTACCACCCAAATCACTGTATACCTCTTGATTCAGACAAACAAAATTGTACTCTTGTGAGTGAATATAATTACACCAACAATAATAATCCTGTATTTTTCTATGTTACTCTACAACTTACCAAACAGCTTTGTATTCATTATCATAGTTGAAACTCAACACCTTTCTGATATTCTGATTCAAATATTAAATTTATACTTGAGGAGGGAGACAAGAATGAACAAACTGAAAAAAAAGATGTACTTTTTGTGTTGTGGGAAATAATGACAAAAATGCCAGGGTCTTCAAGATAACAATCAGATATTTGTTTAGTAGGCAGTGGCCAGGATCAGTGTTATAAATGATGGTATATAAGTTTGTTTTGTTTTCTTATTCTCAAGAAAGGTATAGTCTGGTAAGTGTCTGTGCTTAGCATGAAGGATCTAGGGCTTGAATGTACTTACCATACTAAAGTATAATTGACATCCTCTCCTGAAAATACTTACCTTAGCTCTTGGGTCTGGCATCAACCTACAAAGAATAGAGCCAATCAAGTACTATGTGTCCTGTAGAGTTTTTGATTTCCTTGTGGCCACAGTTCTGGCACAAGCTTATGTTTTCCCTGAGATTCCTTAGGCCCTTTGTTAATACACATTGAGATTCTCCATGTTTTGGCTCCTCAGGAAGTCAGGCAGTAGTTTTTAAGATATGGGGAATGTATGAGGTCAGGAGAAGTATTTGGCAGCTTTGGGGATCTGTGTTTCCACTACTAAGGTATAACCTGAAAGACAAGGGCTGTAGAAAAGGCAGCTGAGGATAACCTCTCTAAGGCCCTAAGGAGCTCTTGCCTGGGCTTCAGAAAATCTGAGTCCTAGACTATGCTTAGTTACTAACACCCTGTGTGACCTTCGGCATACAACTTCACCTCCCCGAGCCTCTTGGTTCTAAAAGCCCTTCTGGCTCAATTATTCTGTAATTCATGAAAGCTTAATAGTACTGGGAATTGTCTTGCTCAGGGTGATAATGGTTTGAGCAAAGAAATGAATAGGCTGAGTAAAGTGCCACCTTCCCAGTGGATATAAAATGCTTTCTGAATTAAATGCATATCTCCTAAAGCAATTCTTTTTTATTATTATTATACTTTAAGTTTTAGGGTACATGTACACAATGTGCAGGTTAGTTACATATGTATACATGTGCCATGTTGTTGTGCTGCACCCATCAACTCATCATTTAACATTAGGTATATCTCCTAATGCTATCCCTCCCCCCTCCCCCCACCCCACAACAGGCCCCAGAGTGTGATGTTCCCCTTCCTGTGTCCATGTGTTCTCATTGTTCAATTCCCAGCTATGAGTGAGAACATGCGGTGTTTGGTATTTTGTCCTTGAGATAGTTTGCTGAGAATGATGGTTTCCAGCTTCATCCATGTCCCTACAAAGGACATGAACTCATCATTTTTAATGGCTGCATAGTATTCCATGGTGTATATGTGCCATATTTTCTTACTCCAGTCTATCATTGTTGGACATTTGGGTTGGTTTCAAGTCTTTGCTATTGTGAATAGTGCCACAATAAACATACTTGTGCATGTGTCTTTATAACAGCATGATTTATAATCCTTTGGGTATATACCCAGTAATGGGATGGCTGGGTCAAATGGTATTTCTAGTTCAAGATCTAAAGCAATTCTTAATTAGCAGAGCTGGTGTGAGTAAGTCTTGTGGTGAGGCTGCATAGACAGGAATTCAGAATCCAGGGAGAAGGTGATAATAGGCCCAATCTGCTTCTTACCTCTCATAGCAAAGAATGAGTGTGGTTATAAAAGCTAGGCATCACATTTTAGGGGAAGAAAAAGAGGATAGAGAGGTTTCAGGGCTTTGACCAGGATGATGGGAGTACTCTGAATTATGCCACATAAGGAAGAGCAGACAGACATAGGGGTGAGTAGTCAGAAGACCTCCAGAAAAGTCTTGGCCCCTGTTCTTAGCATCTCAAGGGTTCTTGTGGGAAATAGGAGTGACTTAAAATCTGAATAAAAAGGTATACTGTTGTTGGTAGGTAGATGTAACACAGGGACATATTTCAAGTTAATAGAAAGATACTACTAAGTATTAGAAGCATAGGATGTCTCAAGAATTAGTGAGTTTTTGTTGAAAGTTTATATGGAAAGGCCAAAATACCATCTAATAGAAATAATATCGATAGGGTCAGAGGTCAGGCAAGGAGTTGGATTAAATTCTTTAAGTTCCTTCTAAATTCCAAGGGTAAATAATTCCAGATTAGTGGTTAAGCTAGTGGAAAGGAGATTCTAATCACAGGGTCTGAAATTCCAAGCAGGGGAACACTTATATACCACCGATTATAAGATTGGTTCCCCACTGCACTGTCCACTGAATTAACATCTGATTGTTATCTTGAAGACCCAAGTACTTTTGTCATTGTTTCCAACAACTCAAATTGTACATCTTTTTTCAGTTTGTACATTCTTATTCTTATTGCTTCCTCAAGTGTAAATTGAGTATTTGAATCAGAATATCACAAAGTTGTTGAGTTTTACGTATGATAGTGAATACAAAGCTGTTTGGTAAGTTGTAAAGTGCCATAGAAAAATACAGGATTGGCCAGGTGCGGTGGCTCATGCCTGTAATCCCAGCACTTTGGGACGCCGAGGTGGGCGGATCACAAGGTCAGGAGTTTGAGACCAGTCTGACCAACATAATGAAACCCCGTCTCTACTAAAAATACAAAAAATTAGCCGGGTGTGGTGGTGTGTGCCTGTAATCCCAGCCTCTAAGGAGGCTGAGGCAGAATAATTCACGTGAACCCAGGAGGCAGAGGTTGCAGTGAGGCAAGATCACGTCTCTGCACTCCAGCCTGGGTGACAGTGTGAGACTCCATCTCAGAAAAAATAAATACAGGATTATTGTTGTTGGTGTTATTATATTCACTGGCCTGAGTACAATTTTGTTTGGTTGGTTTTAGCTTTTTTATTATTTCTTATTCATACATAACAGATGTACATATTTTGCGGTAAATGTGACAATACATTAATATAATATCAAATCAGAGTAATTGAGATGTCCATTGATATAGCTTGGCTGTGTCCCCACCCAAATCTCATCTTGAATTCCCACGTGTTGTGGAAGGGACCCCGTGGGAGGTAATCAAATCATGGAGGTGGGTCTTTCCCATGCTGTTCTCATGATAGTGAATAAATCTCATGAGATCTGATGGTTTTATAAAGAGAAGTTCTTTCATGCAACTTCTCTTCTCTCACCATGTAATATGTTCTTTCCACCTTCTGCCATGACTGTGAGGCCTCTCCAGCCATGTGGAACTGTGAGTCCACTAAATCTCTTTCTTTAGTAAATTTCCCAGTCTCAGGTAGGTCTTTATTAGCAGTGTGAAAACTGATTAATACATCCATCAGCTTGAACATCTCTCTCTTTTCTTTATGCTAAAAGCATTTAAATGATTCCCTTCTAGCCATTTTGAAATGTACAGTAGATTAATGTTAACTAAAGTCATCCTACTGATTAATCAAATGCTAGGTTTTATTTCTTCTATCTAACTGTATGTCTTGGTACAATTTGATCTCTGATAGAGTTTAAATAAGGACAGATTCCTCAAGGTAGAAAAAAGCAGATGGTTTGCTGAGTGATTCTTTCTAGGGTTACTTGACTAATGATTTCCTTTATAATTTACTTTTCCCACTGGAGCCATGTGATGAGAAGCTGGAGAGAGATGGCTGGAGGCTATAGACAGTTGAGGGTACAAGGGTTTAGAGTAGAAATGTAACAGCTATAAAAGATATTGGGAGAGGAGGAATGAGTACAGCAGAACCAGGAATCAAACATATAAAAGCCAAGGTAAGACAGTGAGTGTCTATGCAGATGTTTACAGTATTTTTCTTAAAAAAAAACTTGTAGAAATTAGTTGTTCTTTTGTATAAAAGTATTTAGGTGGGGCCACCTCAAGACAGAGAGCATTGTTCAAAGCCTCGGGTCTCTGATGGAATACAAATGTCTCTACTTTGGCACATATCTGATGGGTGTGGAGTTTTGTATCTGCAAATTGGTTGTCTAAAGAACCGGTATGATGGAAAAAGGAAATTGGATCCCTGGAATAAACTTAGGGGCTGGCAAGAACAGATAATATTCCTCCTTACATTCCCAACTGTTTCTAGGAAACAAGACTTGTTTACCTCTTGAAGAACAGAAGAAAAAATGACATTTCTTTTGCTGGGAAGGATTAAAAAGATATTTCTGTTGATCATCTCTTGGTTTGGGATTGTTTATTTATTAGCTGTTTTCTGAAGTCAAGTTCCAGGTCACAAGGCTTTTGTAATGGGAGGAGGTATCATGAGTGAACAGTGGATATTAGCAGCACTGTGCCTAGTGACACCTTGGTTAAACCCCTTCTCAGCTACTATTCTTTCTTCTTTTTCTTTTTGCCTTCTGCTTCACTCTACTCTTTTCTCATTTCTTCTCCTCTTCACTTTGCTTATCTTTTCTTTCCTGGTTCTTGTTTATTATTCCTGTCTTGCATTCCTTCTTTTTTCTCTCCTCCCTATGCATTTCTTTTGCTTCTTTTTATCCCCAGCTGAGTCAGACTCCAGGAAGATGTGCATCCAGAAGACTTTTCCATTCCCAGCTTAGAAAAAAAGACAGATGCAAAGCCTTTATTAGCTCATCTCCTTAGTCTCCTAGCCAGGGAAAGATTGCTCCTCAAAATAGATTTTACTTTGCTTTACTTTGATTCAATGTGAAATGACTCAAGCCAAGGGCCTTCTATATCTTTCCTTGAGAAATATCATTCCATATTGTATACAACTTGCTTTCAAATATTCCCATTCCCTGGAATAATATTTATTTTATTTTGGTTCAGCACATTACTACTGGTTAGTTTATCTAGGACCTCCCTAAACCTTTCTGTTCTTTTTTTGGTGTTTATTGCTTTCTAGAGGTTACAAATGCTTATCACACTCTCAGAGAAATTCTTTTGGCCCCTGAAACATTCTGTTCCATGGCCAATACTCCATGAGGCTGTTATTACTGCCATTTAAAAATATGAAATCTGAGATCTGAATGGATTAAGACACTTCCATATGATCACAGAGATATAACATAGTGGGCCTGAGATTCAAAACTAGATCTGTTTGATTTCAAAATTAATGGTCTTTCCACAGCATCAAAATAGGGCTCAGCATAGCTTATGAGAAACAGCACAAAATACTTCTGTAGTTACTTGATCAATCTTTATGTCTAGCCCAAAGCTTATCTGAACAATTTGATATTGGACTACATGAGAGGTACTGTGGTATATTAGAGGAGCTCCTGAACTACACACAAAAACACACACACACAAATACATCTTTCCTTCATTTTGGCTGAAGAGTTTAGAAGATTCTGATATGTGTTCAGAGACCGGATTCACCTCCATTTGTGAATTAAGTCCTGTGACATTGTTGTCAGACATCGTATTAGAACTCTCACGAGTTATAGACCTTACTAAGAGTAATTTCCATTAGTCTGGTTACATTCCAATTATCATGGCGCCTTATGAAGAAAAAAGATAAGCCAGTTTTGAAAACTGGTGGCCATAATTTAATTTCATGACAACAAAATAAGTTGACATAGTAAATTTATGGCCTATCTGTATTTTACTTAATGGTATAATACCATGCCAGATAACTTACTTGAAACTTATCCCATAACCAAGTAATAGATGAACTTCTCTGGATTACTGCAATATGAATAATTTTATCTCTTGGACCATCAATCATGATATGCCCAACATAACAAAACCAATGTTATGAGACCAAGAATAGGAAATGGGAAGCATCTTTTTTAAAAAAAAATGTATTTTAGGCCGGACGGGGTGGCTCACGCCTGTAATCGCAGCGCTTTGGGAGGCCGAGGCAGGCAGATCACGAGGTCAGGAGATGGAGACCATCCTGGCTAACACGGTGAAACCCTGTCTCTACTAAAAATACAAAAAAAAAAAAAACAAACAAACAAACAAAAAAAACTAACCGGGCGTGGTGGCAGGTGCCTGTAGTCCCAGCTACTTGGGAGGCTGAGGCAGGAGAATGGTGTGAACCTGGGAGGCGGAGCTTGCAGTGAGCCAACATTGCGCCACTGCACTCCAGCCTGGGAGAGAGTGCGAGACTCTGTCCCAAAAAAAAAAATTATTTTAGTTTTAGGGGTACAAGTGCAGGATTGTTTTATAGATAAACTCGTCACAGTGTTTTCTTGTACAGATTACTACGTCACTAAGGTACTAAGCCTAGTGCCCAACGGTTGTTTCTTTCTTCTCCTTTTCCTTCTTCCAGCCTCCACCTTCAAGTAGACCCCAGTGCCTGTTGTTCTCTCTTTTGTGTGTGTCTATGAGTTCTCATCATTTAGCTCCCACTTATAAGTGAGAACATTCGGTATTTGATTTTCTGTTTCTGTGTTAGTTTGCTAAGGATAATGGCCTCCAGCTACATCTGTGTTCTTGCAAAGACATGATCTCATTCTTTTTATAGCTGCATAGTATTCCATGGTGTATATGTAACACATTGTCTTTATCCAATCTGTCATTGATGGGCATTTGGGCTGATTCCATATCCTTGTTATTGTAAATAGTGCTACAATGAACATTCACATGCATGTGTCTTTGTGGTAGAATGATTTATAATTTTGTGGGTATATACCCAGTAATGGGATTGCTGGGTGGAATGGTAGTTCTGATTTTAATTGTTTGAGGAAACCCCACACTGATTTCCACATTGTTTGAACTAATTTACACTCCAAACAACAGTGTTAAAGTGCTCCCCTTTGTCTGCAACCTCGCCAGCATCTGCTATTTTATGACATTTTAATAACAGCCATCTGACAGGTGTGAGATGGTATCTGATTGTGATTTTGCTTTAAATTTTCCTTTTTTTTAATTTCAATTTTTAGTTTTTTTTTTATTATTATACTTAAAGTTTTAGGGTACATGTGCACTTTGTGCAGGTTAGTTACATACGTATACATGTGTCATGCTGGTGCGCTGCACCCACTAACTCGTTATCTAGCATTAAGTATATCTCCCAATGCTATCCCTCCCCCTCCCCCCACCCTACAACGGTCCCCAGAATGTGATGTTCCCCTTCCTGTGTCCATGTGATCTCATTGTTCAATTCCCACCTATGAGTGAGAATATGTGGTGTTTGGTTTTTTGTCCTTGCGATAGTTTACTGAGAATGATGATTTCCAATTTCATCCATGTCCTAAAAAGGACATGAACTCATCATTTTTTATGGCTGCATAGTATTCCATGGTGTATATGTGCCACATTTTCTTAATCCAGTCTATCATTGTTGGACATTTGGGTTGGTTCCCAGTCTTTGCTATTGTGAATAATGCCACAATAAACATACGTGTGCATGTGTCTTTATAGCAGCATGATTTATAGTCATTTGGGTATATACCCAGTAATGGGATGGCTGGGTCAAATGGTATTTCCAGTTCTAGATCCCTGAGGAATCGCCACACTGACTTCCACAATGGTTGAACTAGTTTACATTCCCACCAACAGTGTAAAAGTGTTCCTATTTCTCCACATCCTGTCCAGCACCTGTTGTTTCCTGACTTTTTAATGATTGCCATTCTAACTGGTGTGAGATGGTATCTCATTGTGGTTTTGATTTGCATTTCTCTGATGGCCAGTGATGATGAGCATCTTTTCATGTGTTTTTTGGCTGCATAAATGTCTTCTTTTGAGAAGTGTCTGTTCATGTCCTTCGCCCACTTTTGGATGGGGTTGTTTGTTTTTTTCTTGTAAATTTGTTTGAGTTCATTGTAGATTCTGGATATTAGCCCTTTGTCAGATGAGTAGGTTGCGAAAATTTTCTCCCATTTTGTAGGTTGCCTGTTCACTCTGATGGTAGTTTCTTTTGCTGTGCAGGAGCTCTTTAGTTTAATTAGATCCCATTTGTCAATTTTGTCTTTTGTTGCCATTGCTTTTCGTGTTTTAGACATGAAGTCCTTCCCCATGCCTATGTCCTGAATGGTAATGTCTAGGTTTTCTTCTAGGGTTTTTATGGTTTTAGGTCTAACGTTTAAGTCTTTAATACATCTTGAATTGATTTTTGTATAAGGTGTAAGGAAGGGATTCAGTTTCAGCTTTCTACACATGGCTAGCCAGTTTTCCCAGCACCATTTATTAAATAGGGAATCCTTTCCACATTTCTTGTTTTTGTCAGGTTTGTCAAAGATCAGATAGTTGTAGCTATGCGGTGTTATTTCTGAGGGCTCTGTTCTGTTCCATTGATCTATATCTCTGTTTTGGTACCAGTACCATGCTGTTTTGGTTACTGTAGCCTTGTAGTATAGTTTGAAGTCAGGTAGTGTGATGCCTCCATCTTTGTTCTTTTGGCTTAGGATTGACTTGGCAATGCACACTCTTTTTTGGTTCCAGATGAACTTTAAAGTAGTTTTTTCCAATTCTGTGAAGAAAGGCTTTGGTAGCTTGATGGGGATGGCATTGAATGTGTAAATTACCTTGGGCAGTATGGTCATTTTCACGATATTGATTCTTCCTACCCATGAGCATGGAATGTTCTTCCATTTGTTTGTATCCTCTTTTATTTCCTTGAGCAGTGGTTTGTAGTTCTCCTTGAAGAGGTCCTTCACTTCCCTTGTAAGTTGGATTCCTAGGTATTTTATTCTCTTTGAAACAATTGTGAATAGAAGTTCACTCATGATTTGGCTCTCTGTTTGTCTGTTGTTGGTGTATAAGAATGCTTGTGATTTTTGTACATTGATTTTGTATCCTGAGACTTTGCTGAAGTTGCTTATCAGCTGAAGGAGATTTTGGGCTGAGACAATGGGGTTTTCTAGATATACAATCATGTCATCTGCAAACATGGACAATTTGACTTCCTCTTTTCCTAATTGAATACCCTTTATTTCCTTCTCCTGCCTAATTGCCCTGGCCAGAACTTCCAACACTATGTTGAATAGGAGTGGTGAGAGAGGGCATCCCTGTCTTGTGCCAGTTTTCAAAGGGAATGCTTCCAGTTTTTGCCCATTCAATATGATATAGGCTGTGGATTTGTCATAGATAGCTCTTATTATTTTGAAATATGTCCCATCAATACCTAATTTATTGAGAGTTTTTAGCATGAAGGGATGTTGAATTTTGTCAAAGGCTTTCTCTGCATCTATTGAGATAATCATGTGGTTTTTGTCTTTGGATCTGTTTATTTGCTGGATTACATTTATTGATTTGTGTATATTGAACCAGCCTTGCATCCCAGGGATGAAGCCCACTTGATCATGGTGGATAAGCTTTTTGATGTGCTGCTGGATTCAGTTTGCCAGTATTTTATTGAGGATTTTTGCATCAATGTTCATCAGGGATATTGGTTTAAAATTCTCTTTTTTGGTTGTGTCTCTGCCCGGCTTTGGTATCAGAATGATGCTGGCCTCATAAAATGAGTTAAGGAGGATTCCCTCTTTTTCTATTGATTGAAATAGTTTCAGAAGGAATAATATCAGTTCCTGCGTTTACCTCTGGTACAATTCGGCTGTGAATTGATCTGGTCCTGGACTCTTTTTGGTGGGTAAGCTATTGATTATTGCCACAATTTCAGATCCTTTTATTGGTCTATTCAGAGATTCAACTTCTTCCTGGTTTAGTCTTGGGAGAGTGTATGTGTCAAAGAATTTATCCATCTCTTCTAGATTTTCTAGTTTATTTGCGTAGAGGTGTTTTTAGTATTCTCTGATGGTAGTTTGTATTTCTGTGGGATTGGTGGTGATATCCCCTTTATCATTTTTTCTTGCGTCTATTTGATTCTTCTCTCTTTTTTTCTTTATTAGTCTTGCTAGCGGTCTATCAATTTTGTTGATCCTTTCAAAAAACCAGCTCCTGGACTCATTAATTTTTGAAGGGTTTTTGTATCTCGATTTCCTTCAGTTCTGCTCTGATTTTAGTTATTTCTTGCCTTCTGTTAGCTTTGAATGTGTTTGCTCTTGCTTTTCTAGTTCTTTTAATTGTGATGTTATGGTGTCAATTTTTGATCTTTCCTGCTTTCTCCTGTGGACATTTAGTGCTATAAATTTCCCTCTACACACTGCTTTGAATGTGTCCCAGAGATTCTGGTATGTTGTGTCTTTGTTCTCATTGGTTTCAAAGAACATCTTTATTTCTGCCTTCATTTCATTATGTACCCAGTAGTCATTCAGGAGGAGGTTGTTCAGTTTCCATGTAGTTGAGCAGTTTTGAGTGAGATTCTTAATCCTGAGTTCTAGTTTGATTGCACTGTGGTCTGAGAGATAGTTTGTTATAATTTCTGTTCTTTTACATTTGCTGAGGAGAGCTTTACTTCCAACTATGTGGTCAATTTTGGAATAGGTGTGGTGTGGTGCTGAAAAAAATGTATATTCTGTTGATTTCCGGTGGAGAGTTCTGTAGATGTCTATTAGGTACACTTGGTGCAGAGCTGAGTTCAATTCCTGAGTATCCCTGTTGACTTTCTGTCTCATTGATCTGTCTAATGTTGACAGTGGGGTGTTAAAGTCTCCCATTATTAATGTGTGGGAGTCTAAGTCTCTTTGTAGGTCACTCAGGACTTGCTTTATGAATCTGGGCGCTCCTGTATTGGGTGCATATATATTTAGGATAGTTAACTCTTCTTGTTGAATTGATCATTTTACCATTATGTAATGGCCTTCTTTGTCTCTTTTGATCTTTGTTGGTTTACAGTCTGTTTTGTCAGAGACTAGGATTGCAACCCCTGCCTTTTTTTGTTTTCCATTTGCTTGGTAGATCTTCCTCCATCCTTTTATTTTGAGCCTATGTGTGTCTCTGCATGTGAGATGGGTTTCATGAATACAGCACACTGATGGGTCTTGACTCTTTATCCAATTTGTCAGGCTGTGTCTTTTAATTGGAGTATTTAGTCCATTTACATTTAAAGTTAATATTGTTATGTGTGAATTTGATCCTGTCATTATGATGTTAGCTGGTTATTTTGCTCATTAGTTGATGCAGTTTCTTCCTAGTCTCGATGGTCTTTACATTTTGGCATGATTTTGCAGCGGCTGGTACCGGTTGTTCCTTTCCATGTTTAGTGCTTCCTTCAGCAGCTCTTTTAGGGCAGGCCTGGTGGTGACAAAATCTCTCAGCATTTGCTTGTCTGTAAAGGATTTTATTTCTCCTTCACTTATGAAGCTTAATTTGGCTGGATAGGAAATTCTGGGTTGAAAATTCTTTTCTTTAAGAATGTTGAAAATTGGCCCCCACTCTCTTCTGGCTTGTAAGGTTTCTGCCGAGAGATCCACTGTTAGTCTGATGGGCTTCTCTTTGAGGGTAACCCGACCTTTCTCTCCGGCTGCCCTTAACATTTTTTCCTTCATTTCAACTTTGGTGAATCTGACAATTATGTGTCTTGGAGTTGCTCTCCTCGAGGAGTATCTTTGTGGCGTTCTCTGTATTTCCTGAATCTGAACGTTGGCCTGCCTTGCTAGATTGGGGAAGTTCTCCTGGATAATATCCTGCAGAGTGTTTTCCAACTTGGTTCCATTCTCCCCGTCACTTTCAGGTACACCAATCAGACGTAGATTTGGTCTTTTCACATAGTCCGATATTTCTTGGAGGCTTTGATCAATTCTTTTTATTCTTTTTTCTCTAAACTTCCCTTCTCGCTTCATTTCATTCATTTCATCTTCCATTGCTGATGCCCTTTCTTCCAGTTGATCGCATAGGCTCCTGAGGCTTCTGCATTCTTCACGTAGTTCTCGAGCCTTGGTTTTCAGCTCCATCAGCTCCTTTGAGCACTTCTCTGTATTGGTTATTCTAGTTACACATTCTTCTAAATTTTTTCAAAGTTTTCAACTTCTTTGCCTTTCGTTTGAATGTTCTCCCTTAGCTGAGAGTATTTTGATCATCTGAAGCCTTCTTCTCTCAGCTCATCGAAGTCATTCTCCATCCAGCTTTGTTCCGTTGCTGGTGAGGAGCTGCGTTCCTTTGGAGGAGGAGAGTTGCTCTGCTTTTTAGAGTTTCCAGTTTTACTGTTCTGTTTTTTCCCCATCTTTGTGGTTTTATCTACTTTTGGTCTTTGATGATGGTGATGTACAGATGGGTTTTTGGTGTGGATGTCCTTTCTCTTTGTTAGTTTTCCTTCTAACAGACAGGACCCTCAGCTGCCGGTCTGTTGGAGTACCCTGCAGTGTGAGGTGTCTGTGTGCCCCTACTGGTGTGTGGCTCCCAGTTATGCTGCTCGGGGATCAGGGTTCAGGGACCCACTTGAGGAGGCAGTCTGCCCATTCTCAGATCTCCAGCTGCATGCTGGGAGAACCACTGCTCTCTTCAAAGCTGTCAGACAGGGACATTTAAGTCTGCAGAGGTTACTGCTGTCTTTTTGTTTGTCTGTGCCCTGCTCCAAGATGTGGAGCCTACAGAGGCACACAGGGCTCCTTGAGCTGTGGTGGGCTCCACCCAGTTCGAGCTTCCTGGCTGCTTTGTTTACCTAAGCAAGCCTGGGCAAAGGTGGGCACCCCTCCCCCATCCTGGCTGCCGCCCTGCAGTTTGATCTCAGACTGCTCTGCTAGCAATCAGCGAGACTCCGTGGGCGTAGGACCCTCCGAGCCAGGTGCGGGATACAATCTCGTGGTGTGCCGTTTTTTAAGCCTGTCGGAAAATCGCATTATTTTTGGGTGGGAGTGACCCGATTTTCTAGGTGCGTCCGTCACCCCTTTCTTTGATTAGGAAAGGGAACTCCCTGACCCCTTGCGCTTCCCGAGTGAGGCAATGCCTCGCCCTGCTTTTGCTCACGCACGGTGTGCACACCCACTGTCTGGCACTCCCTAGTGAGATGAACCCGGTACCTCAGATGGAAATGCAGAAATCACTCATCTTCTGTGTCGCTCAGGCTGGGAGCTGTGGACCAGAGCTGTTCCTATTCCGCCATCTTGGCTCCTCCCTCCTGCTTTGAATTTTTCTAATGATCAGTGATATTGAGGTTTTTTTCATACGCTTCTTGGCCACATGTATGTCTTCTTTTGAAAAATGTCCGTTAATGTCCCTTGCCCAGTTTTTAATGGGGTTGTTTCTTTCTTGTAAGCTGCTGTAAGTTCTTTATATATGGTGGATATTAAAATTTTTCAGCTTCATAGTTTGCAAATATTTTCTCCCATTCTGTGGGTTGTCGATTAATCTGTTGATAGCTTCTATTGCTGTATAGAAGATCTATAGTTTAATTAGATCAAATTTGCCAATTTTTGCTTTTGTTGTGATTGCTTTTGGTGTCTTCATTGTGAAATATTTGCCCATTCCTATGTCCAGAATGGAATGCATAGGTCTTTTTTCAGAGTTTTTACAGCTTTGGGTTTTACATTTAAATCTTTAATCTATCTTGACTTGGTTTTTGTATATGATACAAGAGAGCAGTCCAGCATCAGTCATCTGCATATGGCTAGCCAGTTATCCCAGCACCATTTATTTAAAATGGAGTCTTTTCCTCATTGCTTGTTTTTGTCATCTTTGTCGAAGAACAGTTGGTTGTAGGTGTGCAGCACTATTTCTGGTCTCGCTATTCTTTTCCATTGGTCTATGTGTCTGCTTTTGTACTAGTACCATGCTGTTTTGTATATTGTAGCCGTGTAGTATACTTTGAAGTTGAGTAGTATGATGCCTCCAGTTTTGTTTTTTTTGCTTAGGATTGCCTTGATTATTCAGGGTTTTTTTTAATATAAATTTTAAAATAGCTTTTTCTAGTTCTTTGAAGAATGTCATTGGTAGTTTGATAGAAATAGCTTGAATCTGTAAATAGCTTTGGGAAGTATGACCATTTTAATGATATTGATTCTATCTGTAAACATGAAATGTTTTTCTTTTTATTTGTGTCATCTCTGATTTCTTTGAGCAGTATTTTGTAATTTTTATTGTAAAGATCTTTTATCTCCCTGGTTAGCTGTATTCCTAGGGACTTTATGTTTGTGTAGCAATTGTGAATAACATTGCATTCCTGATCGGACTCTCAACTTGGCTGCTGTTGGTGCATAGGAATCCTTGTGACTTTTGTACATGATTTTGTATCCTGAAACTGCTGAAGTTGTTTTTCAGCTTATATGGCTGTTGGGCTGAGACTATGTGGTTTTCTATATATGGAATCATGTCATCTGCAAACAGGGATAGTTTGATTTCCTCTCTTCCTATTTGGATGCCCTTTATTTCTTTCTCTTGCCTGATTGCTCTAGCCAGGACTTCCAATACTATGTTAAAGATTATTGATGAGAAAAGGCATTCCTGTCTTTTGCCAGTTTTCAAGGGGGATGCTTCCAGCTTTTGTCCATTTGGTATCATGTTAGTTGTGGGTTTGTCATAGATGACTCTTTTATTTTAAGGTATGTTCCTTAAATATCTAGTTCATAAGGAGTTTTTAACAGATAGGGATGTTAAGTTTTATAGAAAGTCTTTTCTGCATCTATTGAGATAATCATGTGGATTTTGTCTTTATGTTTACATGATTACTGTTACATATACTGATTTTTGTATGTTGAACTGATCTTGCATCTTGAGGATGAAGCCTACTTGATTCTGTTTGGTTAGCTTTTTGATTTGCTGCTGGATGGGGTTTGCAATTTTTTTTGTTGAGGATTTTTGCATCAATGTTCATCAAAGACATTGCCCTGAAGTTTTCTTTTTCTGCTGTGTCTCTACCAGGTTTTGGTATCAGAATGATGTTGGCCTCATAGAATGAGTTGGGAAAAAGTCCCTCCTCCTAAATTTTGTGGAATAGTTTTAGTGGGAATGGCACCAGATCTTCTTTGTACATCTGGGAGAATTCAGCTATGAATCCATCTGGTCTTGGATTTGTTTTGGTTGACACTGTATTTATTACTGATTCAATTTTGGAGCTCTTTCTTGGTCTGTTCAGGGAATCAATTTTTTCCTGGTTCAGTCTTGGAAGGGTGTTTGTGTCAAGAAATTTACTCACCTCTTCTAGATTTTATACTTTGTGTGCATAGAGTTGTTTATAGCAGTTTTCTATAGTTATTTTTTCTCTGCGGTGTCAGTGGTAGCATTCTCTTTTTCATTTCTAATTATGTTTATTTGAATCTTCTATATTTTTTCTTTATTAGTCTAGCTAATGGTTTATCATTAATTTTGTCAAGAAAACAACTCCTAGATTTGTTTATTTTTTGAATGGTTTTTGTGTCTTGATTTCTTTCAGTTCAGCTCCGATTTTTATTTTTATTTTTGGTCTTCTGTTAGTTTTGGAGTTGGTTTGCTCTTGCTTCTCTAATTCTTTCAGTTATGATTTTAGGTTGTTCATTTAGAATCTTTCTATTGTTTTGATGTGGGCATTTAGTGCTATGAATTCCCCTCTTAACACTGCCTTAGCTGTGTCCAGATATTCCAGTAAGTTGTATCTTTGTTCTTGTTAGTTTCAAAAAACTTCTTGATTTCTGTCTTAATTTCATTATTTACCCAAGGTTTATTTGGCAGCATGTTGTTTAATTTCCATGCAATTGCATGGTTTTGAACAATTTTTTTAAGTCTTGACTTCTATTTTTATTGTGCTGTGGTGCTAAAATGAGTTCTAAATCTTGAAAAAAATTATTGAAATACATCAAAACAAAACTTCCTTAAAGCCTAAATCTCACAGGACCTATAAAATAGCAACACAATACATTTTTAAGAAACCAAGGTATTCAGGCAACAAATAGCATGATGAATAAAATGGTAGCTCACATCTCAATACTAACATTGAATGAAAATGGCCTAAATGCTCTACTTGAAAAATACAGAATGGCAGAATAAATAAGAATTTACCAACCAAGTATCTGCTGTCTTCAAGAGACTCACCTACCACATAAGGACTTACATAAACTTAAGGCAAAGGAGGAGAAAAAGACATTCCATGCAAATGGAGACCAAAAGTGAGCTGGAGTAGCTATTCTTATATCACACGAAACAAACTTCATAGAAACAGTGGTTGGAGATATACCTAATGCTAGATGACACATTAGTGGGTGCAGCACACCAGCATGGCACATGTATACATATGTAACTAACCTGCACAAGGTGCACATGTACCCTAAAACTTAGAGTATAATAAAAAAAAAAAAAGACAAAGAGGGGCATTATATAATGATCAAAGTTCTTGTCCAACAGGAAAATATCAGAATTCTAAATATATATGCACCTAACACTGGAGCTGTCAAATTTATAAAACAATTACTACTAAACCTAAGAAATGGGATAAACAGCAACACAATAATAGTGGGGGACTTCAATACTCCACTGACAGAACTAGACAGGTTATAAAGATAAAATTTAACCAAGAAATAATGGACATAAGCTATAACCTAGAACAAATGGACTTAACAGATGTTTACGGAACATCCTACCCAACAACTGCAGAATATACATTCTATTCATCAGTGCGTAGAATACTTTTTAAGACAGACCTTATGATAGATGACTAAACAAGTCTCAATAAACTTAAGAAAATTGATATTATATGAAGTACTCTCTCTGACCATAGTGGAATAAAATTCGAAATGAATTCCAAAGGGAACCTTCAAAAGTGTGCAAATAAATGGAAATTGAATAATTTACTCCTGAATGATCGTTGAGTCAACAATGAAATCAAGATGGAAATTTAAAAATTATCTAAACTGAACAATAATAGTGACACAATCTATCAAAACCTCTGGGATATGGCAAAGGCAGTGCTAAGAGAAAAGTTCATAGCCTTAGATGCTTACATGAAAAAGTTTGAAAGAACATGATTGATGATCTAAGGTCACACCTCAAGCAACTAGAGAAACAAGAACAAACCACACCCAAACCCAGCAGAAGAAAAAACAAAAAAAAAAAAAAACAAGATCAGAACAGAACTAAATGAAATTGAAACAAAAAAAAATCCACAAGACAAATGAAAGAAAACTCTGGTTCTTTGAAAAGATAAATAATATTGATAGACCACTAGCAAAATTAACCAAGAAAACAACATAGAAGATCCAAATATGCTCCATTAGAAAAGAAATGGGGACAAAACGCAGTGGCTCATGCCTGTAATCCCAGCACTTTGGGATGCCGGGGCAGGCAGATCACGAGGTCAGGAGTTCAAAACCAGTCTGGCCAACATAGTGAAACTTCGTCTCTAATAAAAAATTAGCTGGGCTTGGTGGCAGGCGCCTGTGATCCCAGCTACTCAGGAGGCTGAGGCAAGAGGTTGCAGTGAGCCGAGATTGCACCACTGCACTCCATCCTGGGTGACAGTGCAAGACAAGACTCTGTCTCCAAAAAAAAAAAAAAAAGAAAAAGAAAGAAAAAGAAAGAAAACAAATGGGAAATACTAGAACCAACCAACACCACATAAATACAAAAGATTATTCAAGGTTTCTATGAGCAACTTTACAAGCATAAACTAAAAAACCTAGAGAAGATGGATACATTGCTGTAAATATGCAGCCCTCCTAGCTTAAACCAGGAAGAATTAGAAACCTTGAACCTACCAATAACAAGCAGCGAGATTGAAATAGTAATTTTGAGATTTCCAAAAATAAAAAAGTCCAGGACCAGAGAGATTCTCAACTGAATTCTATCAACATTCAAAAACGAATTTGTACCAATCTATTTGATACTATTCCACAAGATAGAGAAAGAAGGAATCCTCCCTAAATCATTCTATGAATCCAGCATCACACTAATACCAAAACCAGGGAAGAACATAACAAAAAAAAGAAAACTACAGACCAATATCTCTGATAAACAGAGATGCAAAACTCCTTAACAAAATAATAGCTAATCTAATCTAACAGCATATCAAAAAGATAGTCCACCATGATCAAGTGTGTGTCATACCAGGGATGCAGGGATGGTTTAACATCAGCAAGTCAATAATTGTGATACACCACTTAAACAGAATTAAAAACAAAAATCACATGATTATCTCAACAGATGCAGAAAAAGCACTTGACAATATCCAGCATCCCTTTATGATTAAAACCCTCAGCAAAATCAGCATAGAAGGACATACCTTAACGTAATAAGAGCCATCTATGATAAACCCACAGCCAACATAATACTGAATGGGAAAAAGCTGAAAGCATTCCCCCTGAGAACTGGAACAAGACAAGGATGCCCACTATAACCACTTTCAATCAGTATAGTACTCGAAGTCTTATCCACAGCAATCAAACAAGAGAAAGCAATAAAGCGCATCCAAATCAGTTAAAAACAAACAAAAAACGCCAAACTGTTGCTGTTTGCTGATGATATGATTGTATACCTAGAAAACCCTAAAGATTCCTTCAAAAAGGTCCTAGAACTGATAAATGAATTCAGCAAAGTTTCAGGATACAAAATTAATGTGCACAATCAGTAGCTCTACCACACACCAACAGCAACTGAGCTGAGAATCAAATCAAGAACTCAACCCCTTTTACAATAGCTGCAAAAAATCAAATATATACAAACCAAGGAGGTGAAAGACCTCTACAGGGAAAACTGCAAAACTACTGAAAGAAATCATAGATGAACTAAACAAATGGAAAAACATCCCATGCTCATGGATGGGTAGAATCAATATTGTGAAAATGACCATACTGCCAAAAGCAATCTAAAAATTCAAGGCAATTCTCATTAAAATACCACCATCATTCTTCACAGAACTAAAAAAAAAAAAATCCTAAAATTCATATGGAACAAAAATGAGTCCACATAGCCAAAGCAAGACTAAGCAAAAAGAACAAATTTGGAGGCATCCCATTACTCAACTTTTAACTATACTATAAGGCCATAGTCACCAAAACAGTGTGGTACTGGTATAAAATTAAGCATGCAGACCAATGGAACAAAATAGAGAATCCGAAAATAAACCCAAATACTTAACGCCAATTTATTTTTGACAAAGCAAATAAAAACGTAAACTGAGGAAAACACATCCTATTTAACAAATGTTGCTCGGATAATTGGCAAGTCACATGGAGAAAAATGAAACTGGATTCTCATCTCTCAACTTATACAAAAATCAACTCAAGCTGCATCAAAAACTTACATCTAAGACTTGAAATTATAAAAATTTTACAAGATAACATCATAAAAACTTTTCTAGACATTGGCTTAGGCAAAGACTTCATGGCCAAGAACCTAAAAGCAAATGTAACAAAAACAAAGATAAATAGATGTGACTTAAATAAAACGCTCCTGCACAGCTAAAGAAATAATGAGCAGAGTAAACAGACAACCCACAGTGTTGGAGAAAATTGTCACAATCTGTACATCCTTCAGAGGACTAATATCCAGAATCTACAAGAAGCTCAAGGAAATTAGCAAGATAAAAAAAGAAAAGAGTGACATCAAAAAATAGGCTAAGGACATGAATAGACAATTCTTAAAGGAAGATGTACAAATAGCCAACAAGCATGTGAAAAAATGCTCAACATCATTAATGATCAAGTAAATGCAAATCAAAACCACAGTGTGTTACCACCTTACTCCTGCAAGAATGGCCATAATGAAAAAATTAAAAAAAAATAATTATAGATCTTGGCAGGGATGTGGTAAAAAGAGAACACTTTTACACTGTTGGTGGGAATGTGAAGTAGTACAACCACTGTGGAAAACAATGTGGAAACATCTTAAGGAACTAAAAGTAGAATTATCATTTGATACATCCATCCCACCACTGGGTGTCTACCCAGAGGAAAATAAGTCATTATGCAAAAAAGATACTTGCACACACATGTTTATAGCAGCATAATTTACAGTTGCAAAATTATGAAATCAGCCTAAATGTCCATTGATCAATTAGTGGATAAAGAAATTGTGGTATACATATAGAATGGAATACTGTTCAGCCACGAAAAGGAAAAAATTAATGGCATTTGCAGCATCCTGAATGAAATTGAAGACCATTGTTTTAAGTGAAGTAACTCAGGAATGGAAAACCAAAAATCCTATGTTCTCACTCATAAGTGGGAGCTAAGCTATGAGGATGCAAAGGCGTAGGAATGATACAATGGACGTTGGGGCCTTGGGGGAAAGGGTGGGAGGGGGTTGAGGAAGAAAAGACTACAAATTTGGTACAGTGTATACTGCTAGGTTAATGGGTGCACTGAAATCTCAGAAATCACCACTAAAGTAGTTACTCATCTAATCAAATCCCACCTGTTTCTCAAAACCTATGGAAATAAAAATAAAATAAAATAAATATTCAGCCTAATCGCATTTTTGTAGAGCATCTATGTGTGCTGGGGTTCCACTCCAGCCCCCAGTTGCTTTGGACTCTCCAAAGCACAAAGGCAAAAACAGCCAAGGCAGGCAAAACAGCAAAGATGGTGGCCCACCCCTCCCCTTGGGAGCTGTGTCCCAGGGAGGTTTTAAACTGTTTTTGGTTGGAAAACACCAGCAGGGTTTACTGGACACCCTGGTTGAGAGATTCCACCCAGTGAAGAGAAATGGGATTCAAGATCCATGTGACTAAGCAGCCTGATCACTTCTCCTTAGAGCACTAGGCTGTGCTGGGGGAGCTCTCCTGCCTACAGTTGCCTTGGACTCCCTGATCAGTCTTTGTTGTTGTAAGTATAGAAGAAGAATGACTAGACAGATAGCAAAGTGGATGTATAATACTTTGAGGGGCTTGCTAATCACCAGGATAATCTACTATCTTTTTATTTTATATCCATTCTATCATTGGATCTTCAAAATTACCTATATATTTTTAATTTTCTTACTGAAGCCTCACTCTTTGTGGTTCTGCAAAACAAACAAAAAAAAGAACTCTTTATCCTTTCTAAGTGAAAAAGAAATAATAGGAAGTTTCAATGCCTCTTTCCATTTTGTTATTCCTAAAGTAATATGGGAATTTTATGCTTACTCATGGAAAAGAAAATTATCTGAATTTTTTACCCACTCTTTCCTTTAAAAGTAGTTGCCTACCATGATGTATATTTTTAAAGTACAGGGGAGGCACAAAGAAGAAAATGAAAGTGAAGATATAAGTCTAAGAATTTAGAAGACATTTCTCCTGGTTTCCTTAGACCATGTGAAATAGAATCTGTGAATCAGAAAATCTATGACAGATGAGAATGTCAGCCTTTTGTAAACTTGATCTTTTAATACTTAATTTTTCCTTTATTTGCTCTCTTATATGTTTTCTTCTTATTTTTTTATTTGAGGCAGAGTCTCACTCTGTCACCCAGCCTGGAATGCAGTGGCATGATCTTGGCTCACTGCAACCTCTGCCTCCCAGGCTCAAGTGATCCTCCCACCTCAGCCTCCCAAGTAGCTGGGACTACACGCCTGGCTAATTTTTGTATTTCTTTTAAAGAAGGGGTTTCATCATGTAGCCTATGCTGGTCTTGAACTCCTGGACCCAAGTGATCTGCCCACCTCGGCATCTCAAAGTGCTGGGGTTTCAGGCATGAGCCACTGTCACTGGCCTACTTATTCTTTGTTTTTAGTAATGCTGTTTTGTTTTGCTTTTGCTTTTGTTTTTGTTTTTGTTTTACAAGTACAGTGTTTTGGCGTTGATAAAGTTATAAGGCAAAGACATATTTTGGTGTCCAAAATTAATCTTAGTGGAATAGAGAAGTATCTTTTGATGTGATTTTTTTATTTTTTTAATTTTACTTTAAGTTCTGGAATACATATGCAGTGTGAATTTTTAAATAAATGTACAAGGGAGAAACTATTGTAAGCTATAGCCTACCATTTGGTGACTTATTTCCCAGAATTCTTCTCCATTCTAACTTTGGTAAATTTTGTTTTATATAACTAATGGGATTATTCCTTTAGCAAACGCACCCAAAACAGCAGCTGGACACCAAAAGATTAAACTATCTCTGCTTTCAATGACGGATATTACTCCACACTTTATTTTCAATGATACACTGCACAACCAATAAAATGTATAAATTACCTTATGTTTGATACTGAATTTTTGCCTCTCAGGCTTATTGTTATAGTTGATACTACTAACCTAAGAGAGAATATTGCTTCTCTTTAGTTAAAGTTCAGCTTGTAAAGAAGAGAAAAATTCAGAGAAAAAAAGAATTTTGTAAATTACGCTAAGACAGAAATTTTGCCTGGAAAGTTTTAGGACATGCTAACTTAGAGGGATCCACATTTTATTCTTTCCCACCCCCAATACATATGAGACCATGAGTCCTCACATGTATGAGCAGGCTCAATTAAGTTTAGTTTGGCTAACATTTATACTTCTCAAAATGGAGTTAGTCTTATTAACACACAGTACGTAACAATATCCAGAATCTTGACCTACACGTATTCTACTCCTGAAAATTCTCACTTCTGTTCACTCTGACTGGGCTGAATACACAGTGAGGCAAGTGCTCAGTATTCCAGGTAAATGGGAAATGTGCCAGGTTGCAGATTCTGCCAAGAAGAAGACAGACATAAAGTACACATTCACATTAATCCCAAAAATAGGCTAAAAACCTAAGCCATTAGATCTCTGGATCATTCGACTTGTTTACTTGGTCAGAAGCTAAGATTTTGCTTATTGTGTTATTTAGTATTTTGAAGCATTGAGTGGTATTGTTTCATAAGCACTAGGCCCAAAGTGTTTGGCAACCTTTTTTTATACCTATAATAATAAATGTTCTATGATTTGCACTTAAACCAAAATATGCCAAAATAATTTGTTCATATAAACATGTAATGTTAGAGCTGTATTATGAGCATTTCAGGCCCACGATTTTCACATAGCCTGTTGTGTTTCTTAGCAGCATCTCTTCAAAAAATCTACATATGATGCCTACTTCTTACCCAAATGAAAACAAAACAAATAATCAGGGATTAAGGGAACATAAAATTGAATTGTTCAATAAATTTTGTTTTTATTGTCTTCCTTACGGACATAGATCAACTGCAAATAGCTGCCACAAAGTGGCCTAAGGGATAAACAAAGGATTTGGGAAAAACACACGTTTGACTTGGTGACCCTTGGGAAAGTCACTTAACTAATTTGAGTCTTAATTATATTAACTGCAATATAGAAGAATAAAACTAATTTATAGAGATGTTGGGAGGATTGAATGAAGTAATTTGTAGGAATTTTGTAGCACAAGATAGATGCTTAATAATTAGTGGTTCTTCAAAAACTTGAATGAACCTTAAGGATGCTATTCTAAGTGAAATGAGGCTGTCCCAATAAAACAAATACTGAATGATTTCACTTATATGAGTTTCTAAAATAGTCAAATTTATAAAAAGAAGGAGTAGTCATTGCCAGGGTTGAAAGGAAGGGAAAAGGGGAGTTATTGTTTAATGAATGTGGAGATTCAGTTCTGCAACATAAAAAAGACATAGAAACATATGGCACCACCATGTGAATGTAGTTAACACTTCTTAGCTGTAAACAAAAAAATATATAGTTAAGATAATAAAATTTAACTTGGAGCCAACATGGCCAACTAGATACAGACAGGAAGAGCTTCTCCCACCAAGAGACCAGACCATCAAAGAGATTGGCACACTCTGAACAGATCTTCAGAAAGAAAGCATTGAGAGCGGGTGAAGAGAGGACACAGATCACAGGCTGAAAAGGGAGAAAGCTGGAAATGCTGCATGGGATTGCTGAAAACCATAACTCATTCCTAGCTCCAAGCAGCTCCTAAAGAGGGGTGAGTGAAAGAGGCATGGAGTGGCCCACTCTCACTGTGGACCTCAAAAATTCTAGCTGTAGGAGAACCCACAACCCCTATGGACATCTGAGCTGGCAGGGAGAACTGCCAGAGAGATGGCAGAGACAGAACCCCAGCCTGCAAAGAGCCAAGAAAGTTTGATGCTCGAACAGCTGCAGTGGAGAATGGCCATGGGCATCCATCACTCAATGCTTGTCATACACTTCTAGGTAGCTTTAGCCTTTTTTTGCTGTCAGACCTGGACACAACAGCATTATCTTGCCCATAGAACAGGGCCAATCTGATCTGAGTGACTCCTATTTGCTATTTCAGGCTCCCTGCCAGGCTGCACCCACTTTCAGTGCAGACTCAGCTGCCCAGCCAAAGCACTTGTAAGCGGCCACCACTATAGCTCTTTTGCTGGCAGAGTCCACCTAATAGCATCTGTGGGCAGACCACCACCAATGCACACCGAACAAGAACCCTGCCTCACTGGCACACACTTGCTCACGGCCTCCCATTACCTTCACTGGAATACACTAGTCCCACTGCCTTCACTGGAATACAGTAGCCCACAATGTCCCCCGCTAATTCACCAGGGAGTGTTCACCCACAGTATCCCACGGCTGTTTGACTGGCATGTGCACACATGCTGACCCCACCACCATCTCATCCCACTACTGGGCAAGCATGCATAGGCAAGAACCACCACCTACCACAGCCCTGGTTAAGTGCATTTGTCAGCAATTCCCTTATGAATGTTGTTACCAATGGACTGGCAATACTTTAGCCCCTCCAGTGAAGCAAGTGCTTAACCTCCAGTGGCCAGAGAAAAAAAGCTCTGCATGTCCCAGGGCTGGAGCATGCAGCCCAGATGTGCTGAGCTGAGATTTGGACCCATAAAATCTTCCAGATCTTCCAGAAACAAACCAATTAGCTAAACCAAATGGATAACACACTCAAACCATCAAGGGCATCAAACAATAAAAAAAGCAAAAAGCAGAAGCAGAGCTAGATGACAATCAACTGGTTACCCTGCAATGACACTAATTGATCAACTATCGACAAAAAAAAAAAAAATTACATTCATAAGAACCAAAAATCAGGTGAGCCCTCATAGTACCTGTATTTAACTTCGTATCACTGAACGACACACTGAAAAGATAGAAAAAAAACCTTGAATCACTGAAGCTAGCCCTCTCACACCCCCTGGCAGCAGCAGCATAGTTCAGGGAGCTTCTCTGGGCTCTAGGGGAAACAGTGCCAGAAATTGTGAATCACTGAACTCAGTGCTGTCCTTCTGGAGCAGAAAGAAAAACCAGACCAAACTCAGCTGATGCCTGCCCACAGCAGGAGAATTAAAATCAGACCTAGCCAGAGAAAAATTGTAATCCCAGAAGTTAGAACGTGAGTTCCTGAAAACAACTCTAGGTGAGTTCTAGTGGTGAACTGGGCCCAGAGACAGTGGAACTGGGAGGACATACAATCTACTGAGACACAAGCTGGGGGTGGGAAAAGTAGTGCTCGCATCACCCCTCCCCCAACCACAGGCTGCACAGTTCATGACTCCTAAAAATATACCTTCCTTTCACTTGAGGAGAAGAGAAGAAAGAGTGGGAAGGACTTTGTCTTGCATCTTGGATACCAGCTCAGTCACAGCAGGATAGGGTACTAGTCAGAGTTGTGAGGTCCCCTATCCAGGCCCTAACTCCCAGACAGTATTTCTAGATGCACTCTGGGCCAGAAGTAAACCTGCTTGCCTTGAGAGAAAAGACCCAGTCCTGGCAGCATTCATCACCTGCAGCTGAAGAGCCCTTAGGCCTTGAATAATCAGCAGTGATACCCAGGTTCTATGTTGAGGGACTTGGGTGAGCCCTTAAGACTTGTGAGCTTCAGGTGAAACTCAACACATTACCAGCTGTGGTGGCTATTATACAAATCATTTTCTGCTTGAGAAAAGGAGAGAGTAAAGTAAAAAGGACTTTGTCTTGCACCTTAGCTAACAGCATTGCCATCTGGGGCATGGGTAGTGTGCCAACAGGCCCTTGGGGTCCCTGATTCCAGGACTTGACTCTTGGATGACATTTCTGGACCCACCCTGGGCCACAGAGGAGCTTAATTCTCTGAAAAATGAGTCCCAGGCATGTTAGCATTCACCAAAAGCTGACTTAAGAATGCTTGTGCCTTAAGGGAACATCAGTGATAGTCTGGCAGTACTCCCCATGGTCTGCGGTGGCAGTGACTACAAGGTGAGGCTCTTCTGTCTTTGGAGAAAGGAGGGAACAATAGAAAGGTCTGCATCTTGTGGTTTGATTGCCAACTTAGGCATAGTACAATAGAACACCATGTAGATTTAAGGTTTTTCACTCTAGTCCCTGACTCCCAAAGGGCACCTCTGGATGAACCCAGGCTGGGGGAACTTGTCAACCTGAGGGGAATGACACAGGTCTGGCTGGATTTGCCAATTTTCAACTGTAGAGCGTCAGTGCCTTGAGTGATCATAGGCAGTAGCCAGGGAGTGGGTATCATCGCCCTTGGATGAGACCCAGTGCTGTGTTGGCTTCAGGTCTGATCCAGTACAGTCCTAGTAGTGGTGGCCAAAGGGTTACTTGTGTCACTCCATCTCTAACTTTAGGTGGCTCAGAACAGAGAGAGAGATTCAATTTGTTTGGGAGAAAGTGAAAGGAAAGAACAAGAGTTCCTACCTGGTAATCAAGAGAATTTTACCAGATCTTGTCTAAGACCATCAAGGTGGTAGTTCTATGAGTTCTCAAGAACCACAGCATTACTCTGCTTGGGATGTCCCTTAAAGCAGATATAGCTCAGATCACAACATCCAAGTCATTTCAAATATCTGGAAAGTCTCCCCAAGAAGGATGGGTAGAAACAAACCCAAACAGTGAAGACTGCAATAAATACCTAGTTCTTCACTTCCCAGACACCAAAGAACATCTACTAACATCAACACCACCCAGAAAAATGTGACCTCAAAAAATGAACTAAATAAGGTACAAGAATCCTATCCTGGGAAGACAGAGATATGTGACCGTTTAGACAGAGAATTCAAAATAGCTGTAATGGGCAACCTGAAAAAAAAAAGTCAAGATAACACAGAGAAGGAATTCAAAATTATATAAGATAAATTTAACAAAAAGTTGAAATAATTAAACAGAATCAAGCAGAAATTCTAAAGTTAAAAATGCAATTGACATACTGAAGAAAGTATCAGAGTCTTTTAACAGTAGAAATACTGAGCATGAAGTCAGGCTATTTGAAAGTTTTTAGTCAGAGGAGACAAAAGAAAAAAGTTTTAAAAATAAAGCACACCTACGGGAACTGGAAAATAGCCTCAAGAAAGCAAATCTAAGGGTTGTTGGCATTAAAGAGAATATATAGAGAAAAAGAGAGGGCTAGAATGTTTATTCAAAAAGATAATGACAGAGAATTTCTCAAACCTAGAGAAAAATACCACAATTCAAGTACAAGAAGGTTATAGAACATTAAGTAGATTTAACCCAAAGAAGACTGACTCTAGGCATTTAATAATTAAACTCCAAAAGACTTATTATAAATAAAGAATTCTAAACTCAGCAAGAAAACAACAAACAAACAACATATATTGGGGCTGAAATATGCCTGGCAGCAGACTTTTCAATGGAAACCATACAGGCCAAGAGAGAGTGACATATTTAAATACGTCAAGAGGCATGACATATTTAAAGTGCTAAAAAAAAAAGCCATGTTTAACCTAGAATAGTTTATCAGGTGAAAATATTCTTCAAACATGAAGGAGAAATAAAGTCTTTACCAGACAGACAAAAGCTGAGGGATTTCAACACCAGAACTGTCCTACAAAAAAATGCTAAATGTAGTACTTCAATCGGAAACAAAAAGACATTAATGAGCAATTAGTGATCACATGAAGGTACAAAACTCACTGGTAATATAGTAAGTACAAAAAAAAAAAAAAACTTCTGCACTTGGTGGCTCACGCCTGTAATCCCAGCACTTTGGAAGGCCAAGGTGGGCAGATCACAAGGTCAGGAGTTTGAGACCAGCCTGGCCAAAATGGTGAAACCCTGTCTC
Organism: Homo sapiens; assembly: GCF_000001405.40. Taxonomy (NCBI): domain Eukaryota; kingdom Metazoa; phylum Chordata; class Mammalia; order Primates; family Hominidae; genus Homo; species Homo sapiens. The sequence goes on from NC_000023.11 coordinate 76,740,810, forward strand.
TACTAAAAAAAATACAAAAATTACCTGGGCACGTTTGCATGTGCCTGTAATCCCAACTACTCGGGAGGCTGAGGCAGGAGAATTGCTTGAACCCAGGAGGCAGAGGTTGCAGTGAGCTGAGATGGCACCACTGCACTCCAGCCTGGGTGACAGAGCAAGACTCAAGAAAAAACAAACAAACAAACAAAAAACACCACTGAATATCATAACACTGTAACTGTGGTATGTAAACTTCTCTTATCTGAATTACAAAGACTAAATAATAAACCAATCAGAAATGGATTAAGACGGTGGATAGGAGGCTAGACTATCTTGCAGCTCCTGATCGGATGGACACACCAGTGCGTGGAGACTCACAGAGTGAACTTTTGCTCCAAGAACTACTGCAGAAACGTATCAGAAAGCTGCAAGGATCCACAGACCCTTTGAAAAAACTGTATCACTGCTGCAGGCTATCTGAGACACTGAAAAACTGTGAGTCTGTTTGCTTTCTCAATGAGGAGGCTCACAGTCTGGGGCAAGTTCTCGGCCCTGGTCACCAGCTGCCTGGAAATAGACTCGGTGCTGTTGGGGGTGGGGAGTGATGGGAGAGAGATCAGCCTTAAGGGCTGTGGGCTACATAGGAGCAAGGCGAGGCCTCTGACTGCCGGCTTTCCCCCGCTTTCATGGAGACCAGTATGACTCAGCAGAGACAGCCATAACCCCCCTGAGAATACAAACTCCACTGGGATGGGAACCACACCCCCATCCTTCACAGCAACCGCACCCAAGGAGAGGCTCAGCTCAGAAAAGCTTATTCCTGCCCGCACCTGGTGGTCTTTCTCTCCCTGCCCTGGCAGCAAAAGACAAAGATCATAATCTCTTGGGAGTTCTATGGCCCTGCCCACCACCTAAGAAACCTGAATACTTAACCAGTTGACCCTAGTGCAAGTTTGCTTCCTACCTATAGTACAACAGCTGATGCACTTTTAAAAGTGTCACCTCCTGGCTGAAGGCCAATCAATAAAAAACAAGCCCACTAAACAAGAACACAATCGAGGACCCTCACAGAGTCTACTTCACTCCCCTGCTATCTCCATCAGAGCAGGTGCTGGTATACATGTCTGCAAGACCTGAAGACAGATCACATCACAGGACTCTTTGCAGACACTCTCCAGTTTCAGCCTAGAGCCTGGTAGCTCCACTGGGTGGCTAGACCCAGAAGAGCAAAAACAATCACTACAGTTTGGCTCTCAGGAATCCCCATTCCTAGGGGAATGGGGAGAACACCACATCAAGAGAGCACACAGTAGGACAAAAGAATTAGAACAACAGCACTTAAATCCCAGATCTTCCCTCTGACATAGCCTCTTCAAATGAGAAGAAACCAGAAAAACAAGTCTGGTAATATGACAAAACTTGGTTCCTTAACACCCTGAAAAGATTATACCAGCTCACCACCAATGGACCCAAATCAATACAAAAATCTCTGAATTGCCATAAAAGGAATTAAGAAGGTCAATTATTAAGCTAATTAAGAAGGCACCAGAGAAAGGTGAAGTTGAACGTAAAGAAATAAAAAACATGATAAATGACACAAAAGGAAAATTCTTCAATGAAATAGATAGCATAAATAAAAAACAATCACAACTTCGGGAAATCAAGGACACACTTTGATAAATGCAAAATGCACTGGAAACTCTCAGCAATGGAATAAAAAAATTAGAAGAAAGAACTTCAGAGTTTAAGGACAGGCTTTTGAATTAATCCAGTCCATCAAAGACAAAGAAAATATAATTAAAATGAAAATAAACATTCTCCAAGAAGTTTGGGACTATATTAAACATCCAAACCTAAGAATAATTGGTGTTTTTAAGAAAGAAGAGAAATCCAAAAGTTTGGAGAATATATTTGAGGGAATAATTGAGGAAAACTTCCCTAGCCTTGCTATAGGTCTAGACATCAAAATACTAGAAGTTGAAATAACACCTGGGAAATTCATTGCAAAAAGATTATTGCCTACGCACATAGTCAACAGGTTATCTAAAGTCAAGATGATGGAAAGAATATTAAGAGCTGTGAGACAAAGGCATCTGATAACCTACAAAGGAAAACCTATCAGATTAACAGCAGATTTCTCAGCAGAAACCCTACAAGTTAGAAGGGATTGTGCCCTTCTTAAAACAAATACCAGCCAAGAATTTTTTATCCAGCAAAACTAAGTTTCATAAATGCAGGAAAGATACACTCTTTTTAGACAAACAAATGCTGAGAGAATTCATCACTACCAAGCCAGCACTACAAGAAATGCTAAAAGGATCTCTAAATCTTGAAACAAATAATAAAAATAAACACAAATAGAATTTATTTAAGGCATAAATCTCACAGTAGCTATATAACAATAATACACACACCAAAAAACAGAAAAAAATAATAAAAACAAAAAACAAGGAATTCAGGCAACAAATAGCATGATGAATAAAATACTACCTCACATCTCAATACTAACATTGCATGTAAAAAGCCTAAATGCTCCACTTGAAAGTTACAGAATGGCAGAATGCATAAGTCACAGCCAAGTTTCTGCTGTCTTCAAGAGACTCACCTAACACATAAAGACTCAAACTTAAGGCAAAGGAATGAAAAAAGATATTCCATGCAAATGGACAGCAAAAGCAAGCAGGATTAGCTATTTTTACATCAGACAAAACAAGCTTTAAAGAAACAGCAGTTAGAAACACAAGGAGGAAGATTATATAATGATGAAAGGACTAGGCCAACAGGAAAATATCACAATTTTAAATATATATACACCTATCACAGGAGCTCCAAAAATTAATATGACAATTACTAGTAGACCTAAGAAGTGAGATAGTGTGCAGTACAATAATAGAGGGGGGGGTTTTAATACTTCACTGACAGCACTAGACAAGTCAATAAGACAGAAATTCAACAAAGAAACAATGAATTTAAACTATACCATACAAAAATTGACTTAACAGATATTTACAGAACATTCTACCCAACAACTGCAGAATATGCATTCTATTCAAAGCACATGGAACATTCTCCAAGATAGACCATATGATAGACCACAAAACAAGTCTCAGTAAATTTAAGAAAATCAAAATCATATCAAGTACTCTCTCAGACCACAGTGGAATGAAATTAGGAATCAACTCCAAAAAGAACCCTCATAGCCATGCCGACATATGGAAATTTTAAAACCTGTGCTTGAATAATTGTTAGGTCAAAAATGAAATTAAGATAAAAATATAAAAAATTCTTTGAAATGAATGATAACAGTGAGAAAACCAATCAAAACCTCTGGGATACAGTAGAAGCAGTGCTAGGAGGAAAGTTTATAGCATTAAATGCCTACATCAAAAAACCCGAAAGAGCACAAATAGACAAACTAAGATCACACCTCATGGACCTGGAGAAACAAGAACAAAGTCAACCTCAGCAGAAGAAAGAAAATAACCAAGATCAGAGCAGAACTAAATGGAATTGAAAAAAAACCCAACAAAATATAAACAAAGCAAAAACCTGGTTCTTTGAAAAAAACAAATAAATATGATAAATGATTAGCAAGATTAACCAAGAAAAGAAGAGAGCAGATGCAAATAAGCTCAATTAGAAATAAAACAAGGGATATTACAAGTGATACCACAGAAATACAAAAGATCATTCAAGGCTACTATTAACACCTTTATGCACATAAACTAGAAAATCTAGAGGAGGTGGATAAATTCCTGGAAATATACAACCCTCTTAGATTAAACCAGGTAAACATAGAGTCTCTGAACAGACCAGAAACAAGCAGTGAGATTGAAATGGTAATTTAAAAGTTGCCAACAAAAACAACAACAAAAATATCCAGGACCAGATGGATTCACAACTGAATTCTATAAGACGTTCAAAAAAGATTTGGTACCAATACCTATTGACACTATTCCAAAAGACAAAAAAAAGGGAATCCTCCCTAAATCATTCTATGAAGCCAGTATCACCCTAATACCAAAACCAGGGAAGGATATAAGAAAAAAGAAAACTACAGACCAATATTCCTGATGAATGTAGATGCAAATATCTTCAACAAAATACTAGCGAACTAAATCCAACAGCATATCAAAAAGATAATCCACCATGATCAAGTAGATTTTATACCAGGGTTGCAGGGATGGTTTAACATACACAAGTAAATAAATGTGATACACCACATAAGCAGAATTGAAAAAAAATCAAATGATTATCTCAATAGATGCAGAAAAAACATATGACAAAATTCAGTATCTTTTATGATTAAAACCCTCAGCAAAATTGGCATAGAAGAGACATACGTTAAGGTAATAAAAGCCATCTACAACAAACCCACAGCCAGCATCATACTGAATGGGGAAACGTTTAAAGCATTACCTCTGAGAACTGGAAAAAGGCAAGAATGTCCACTTTTAACTCTTCTGTTCAATATAGTACTGAAAGTTCTAGCCAGAGCAATCAGACAACAGAAAAAAAGGGCAACCAAATCAGTAAAGAGGAAGTCAGACTGTCACTGTTTGCTGATGATATAATCATATGTCTATAAAATTCTAGATTCCACCCAAACACTCTTCAATTTGATTAACAAATTCAGTAAAGTCTCAGGTTACAAAATCAGTGTACAGAAATCAGTAGTTCTGTTATATACCAACAGCGATCAAGCTGAGAATCAAATCAAGAACTCAACCACATTCACAATAGCTGCAAAGAAAATAAAATAATTAGAAAAATACCTAACCAAGGACGTGAAAGACTTGTACGAGGAAAACTGCAAAACACTGCTGAAAAAATAATAAATGACAAGAACAAATAAAAAAATTCTATGCTCATGGATAGGTAGAATCAATATTATGAAAATGACCACACTGCCAAAAGAAATCTACAAATTCAATGCAATTCCCATCAAAATACCACCATCATTCTTCATGGAACTAAGAAAAACAATTCTAAAATTCATATTGAACAAAAAATGAGCCTGCATAGTCAAAGCAAGACTAAGCAAATAGAACAAATTTGGAGGTATCACAATACTCGACTTCCAACTATACTATAACGCCATAGTCACCAAAACAGCATGATACTGGTATAAAAATAAGAACACAGACCAATGGAACAGAATAGAAAACCCAGAAATAAACTCAAATACTTACAGACAACTGATCTTTGACAAAGCAATCTGAAACATAAAGTGGGGAAATGACACCCTACTCAACAAATGGTGCTGGGATAATAGGCAAGCCACATGGAGAAGAATGAACCTGGATCTTCATCTCTCACTTCATACAAAAATCAACTCAGGATGGATCAAAGACTTAAATCTAAGACCTGGAACCATAAAGATTATAAAAGATAACATCCGAAAAACCCTTCTAGACATTGGCTTAGGCCAGAACTTTATGACCAAGAACCCAAAAGTAAATGCAGCAAAACCAAATATAAATAGATGTGACTTAAACTAAAAAGCTCCTGCACAGCTAACGAAATAATCAGCATAGTAAACAGACAACCCAGAGAGTGGGAGAAAATCTTTACAATCTATACATCTGACAAAGGATAATATCCAGAATCTACAAATAACTCAAACAAATTAGCAAGAAAAAAAAATCACATCAGAAAGTCGGCTAAGGACATGAATAGACAATTCACAAAAGAAGTTATACAAAGGGCCTACAAGCATATGGAAAAATGCTCAACATCACTAATTATCAGGGAAATGCAAATCAAAACCACAATTCAATAGATACCACATCACTCCTGCAAAAACGGCCATAATGAAAAAATAAAAAAAAATAGATGTTGATGTAGATGCAGTGAAATGGGGACACTTATACACTGTTGGTGGAAATGTAAACTAGCATAACCATCATGAAAATCTGTGTAGAGATTCCTTAAAGAATTAAAAGTAGATCTACCTTTTGATTTAAGAATTCCAATACTGGGTATCTACCGAAAGGAAAAGAAGTCATTATACGAAAAAAGATAATGGCACACACATGCTTGTAGCAGCACAATTTGCCATTGCAAAACTACAGAACCAGCCTAATTCAGGAATGGAAAACCAAATATCTTATGTTCTCACTCACATGTGGGAGCTAAGCTATAAGGATGCAAAGGCATAAGAATAATACATTTAATGTTGGGGACACTGGGGAAAGGGTAGGTAGAGTGTACACTGCTTAGCTAATGGGTACACCAAAATCTCAGAATTCACCACTAAAGAACATATTCATGTAACCAAACACCACCTGCTCCCCAAAAACCTATTGAAATGAAAAATAAAAAATAAGAATAATAATGAACAATAGAAAATAACAACTACAAAAACATCTCAAGGCATAGACAGTACAATAAGATATACAAATTGTAACAAGAAGTTTAAAAGTGAGAGTATAATGTTAAGACATCGAGTTTTAATTGGATTTACTCTTGCTTGTTTATGCAAACACTGTTGTTATCAGGTTAAAATAACAAATTATAAGATATTATCTGCAAGTCTCATGGTAACCTAAAATTAAAAAAAAAATACAATGGAGATGCAAAAAAATTAAAAATCCTAATTATATCACCAGAGAAAATTACATTTACTAAAGGAAGACAAGAATGAGGGGAAGAAGGAAGAGATGAGAGTGAAACAACAATAAAACAACAAAATGACAAAAACAAGTCTTTATTTATCAATAATAACAAGCAATGTAAGTGGACTAAACCGTCCTAATAAAAGACACAGACTGGCTGGATGAGTTTTTACAAAAGGATCATTGATCTAGTGACTAAAAGAAACACACTTTCCATATAAAATACTGAAAATAATGGGATAGAAAATAGTATTCTATGATGATAGTGAAAATCATAAAAGTCCAGAAATAGCAATGCACGTACCAAACAAAATAGATTTCAAGACAAAAACTAGAAGAAGAAACATAGAATGTCACCATATAATGATAACAAGGTCAATTTAATAAGAGACTATAATACTTGTAAATATGTATGCACCCAACACTGAAAAATCCAAATACATAAAGCAAATATTATTACAGAGCAGTTGGGCTCCAATATATTAATATCTGGATGTTTTGAAACCCCGTTGTTAGCACTGGACAGAACTTTGAGACAGAAAATCAATAAAGAAGCATTGAACTTAGTCTGTGCTATAGACCAAATGGATCTAATAAATATTTACAGAATATTTTATACAAGAGCTAGAGAATACCTATGGTTTTTCTTAACACATTGGTTATTCTCAAGGATAGACCTTATGTTAGGTCACAAAACAATTCTTAAAACATTCAAAAAATTAAATAAATCTCAAGCATCTTCTATGACCACAATGAACAAAACCTAGAAATTAACAAGAGGAATTTTGGAAATTATACAAATATATGAAAATTAAAGAATATGCTCCTGCATGACCAGTGAGTCAAAGAAGAAATTAAGAAGGGAACTGAAAAAATCCTTGAAACAAATGATAATGGAAACTCAACATACCAAAACCTATGGGATACAGCTAAAGCAGTACTAAGAAGGAAGTTTATAGCTAAAATGTATCTAAAATTGACTGCATCAAAAAAAAGAAAAACATCAGATAAACAAGCTAATGATGAATCTTAAATAACTAGAAAAGCAAGATCAAACAAAGCCCAAAATAAGTAGAAGAAAACAGAATAAAGATCAGAGCATAAAAAATAAAATTGAAGTGAAGAAAACAATACAGAAGATCAATAAAACAAAAAGTTGGTTTTTGGAAAAGTTAAACAAAATTGACAATCTTTAAGCTGAATTATCAAAGAAAAAAGAGAGAAGATACAAATAAAATTAGAAATGAAAAAGAAGACATTACAACTGGTGATACCACAGAAATTCAAAGGATCATTAGTAGCTACTATGAGAAACTACATGACAATAAATTAGAAAATCTAGATAAAATTGACAGATTTCTAGACACATGCAATCTACCAAGATTGAACCATGAAGATATCCAAAACCTAAACAGAAAAATAACAAGTAACAAAACTAAAGCTGTAATAAAAAGTCTCCCAGTAAGGAAAAGTCTAAGACCCTATGGCTTCATTGCTGTATTCTACCAAACTTTTAAAGAAAAAGTAATAGCAATCCAACTCAAATTATTCCAAAAAATAGAGGAGGAGGAAACACTACAAACTCGTTCTATGAGGCCAGTAGTAACCTGATACCAAGACCAGACAAAGACACACCAAAAAAAGAAAATGACAGGCCAATATCTGTGATGAATATAAATGCAAACATTCTCAACAAATTACTAGCAAACTGAATTCAACAATATATTAGAAAGATCATTCATCATGACCAAGAGGGATTTATCCCTGGGGTGCAAGGATGGCTCAAGATATATAAATCAATCAATGTGATACATTCTATCAACAGAATGAAGGACAAAAACCATGTGATCATTTCAATTGATGCTGAAAAAGCATTTGATAAAATTCAACATCCCTTCATGAGAAAAATTCTCAAGTAACTGGGTATAAAAGAAACATACCACAACATAATAAAAGCCATTTATGACAGCCCACAGCTAGTATTATACTCAATGTGGAAAAACTAAAAGCCTTTCCTCAAAGATCTGAAAGATGAAGAGTGAACTCCCTCAAGCCTGAGAGCTGCCTGCTGGGGAACTTCTGATAGCAAACCCACCAACACCAACAGAAAACCCTCATGCTCTAACACTGGACCTGAGGTCAGGTTCTCCACACCCATTGCAATAGATTACCCTGCCTTGCCTACTGTAGCCTACACCTCTGCAAACAACCTGGGGCCTCAGGTCAGACCCACCTGGCCTGGAACCACCCCCTGCAGTGGTTAAGCACACTGCCTGAGGACCCGGGGATCACACCATCCATTCTACCACCTCTGGCATTTGTGCACTTATCACAGAAACCTGAATATTGGCCCACTCAGCCAGCCGCCAGTATTACAGACAACACCTACTCACACATAACACCTAGAAGCCTGGTAACTGCCTGTTGCAGCCACTGCCAAAACCAGCATGTACCACTTGGGACCCAGAGACTTGTCCTACAATTGTCACTGCCATCATCCATGCCACATCAACTTCCCAGTGTTTCAAGAACCTGTACACCTTCCCAGCTCACCACTATCATTACTGGCATCTAAGCAACAAACCTAGAGGCTCATGAATTGGCCCACCTGGACCCACTAGCACCAGGACCAGTATACAACCCTCTGGGCTCAAAGACAGGCATTCTAAGCCCACTTCTGCCACCACTGGGGCCCACAGCCTGGCCCACCTGCCACCCCGTCCACAGCAAAACATCACTTCAGCCTCCACTAATAATCACAACATAAGCCACCAAGGAAATCACAGACACCACTGATGTCTTCACCCTAAGAAATCATACAGACAGTACACTACTTCAAGCCCTGAGAATAAAAGCCAAAATGCCGTACCCAATAAACACCACAGATATATCTTCAGGAGAAGCTCTTCCCTACAAAAGCCAATTCAAAAGATTAGAAGAAGCTGTCATTATGATGTTAGCTGGTTATTTTGCTCGTTAGTTGATGCAGTTTCTTCCTAGTCTCGGTGGTCTTTACATTTTGGCATGATTTTGCAGTGGCTGGTACCGGTTGTTCCTTTCCATGTTTAGCGCTTCCTTCAGGAGCTCTTTTAGGGCAGGCCTGGTGGTGACAAAATCTCTCAGCATTTGCTTGTCTGTAAAATATTTTATTTCTCCTTCACTTATGAAGCTTAGTTTGGCTGGATATGAAATTCTGGGTTGAAAATTCTTTTCTTTAAGAATGTTGACTATTGGCCCCCACTCTCTTCTGGCTTGTAGGGTTTCTGCCGAGAGATCCGCTGTTAGTCTGATGGGCTTCCCTTTGAGGGTAACCCGACCTTTCTCTCTGGCTGCGCTTAACATTTTTTCCTTCATTTCAACTTTGGTGAATCTGACAATTATGTGTCTTGGAGTTGCTCTTCTCTAGGAGTATCTTTGTGGTGTTCTCTGTATTTCCTGAATCTGAACGTTGGCCTGCCTTGCTAGATTGGGGAAGTTCTCCTGGATAATATCCTGCAGAGTGTTTTCCAACTTGGTTCCATTCTCCCCGTCACTTTCAGGTACACCAATCAGACGTAGATTTGGTATTTTCACATAGTCCCATATTTCTTGGAGGCTTTGCTCATTTCTTTTTATTCTTTTTTCTCTAAACTTCCCTTCTCACTTCATTTCATTCATTTCATCTTCCATTGCTGATACCCTTTCTTCCAGTTGATCGCATCGGCTCCTGAGGCTTCTTATCACTATATACAGTTACATTTTGAACAACTGGGGGTTAGCACTTCAACATATTAATTTTAGGAGAATTCAATTCAGCCCCTAACACCTACCTATTACATTCACTAATTTGCTTAGATTTATTGGTCTCTTTCCATGTTCCAACCTGTGCTAGGCACTGAGGATTGAAACTGAGAATCAGATGAGATAATGACATTTTGAAAACTGACTTAAAATACCAAAAAAAAAAAAAAAACCCACACTTTAAAGTATAGCCCACCCACATAATGCTTTGCTTGCAGGAAATCATTAAATTGAATGAAGTTAAATGATGAAAATGAAAGCTTTCTAAAAGGGGGAAAAATGGGAAGCATGGACAAAGTTATAGAATAGCAACTAATATTTTTAAGCGCCTGATAGGTGCCAGGCACTGACTATAAAACTTATGTAAATTGTCTCATTTAATCCTTACTATGACCCTGCTGGGTAACTATTACCAAAACCATTTTACTGGTGAGAAACCTATTACTAAGAGACTGTAACATCCCAGAGGTTATACAGCTTTGTGGCTTGAATTCGGATCTACTTAATGCCAAAGGAACTCATGTTCCTTTTACTATTCTCTACTGTGAGTCAAAAACATAGAGAACTATGGTTAGGCTCTATTTCTTACATTAATTTTTGTTAAATATTAAGTATTTTCAAAAAACCATTATTCATGTGTATGGAGAATAATAATAAACTGAACACCTGTGTACTCACCAAAAAAAAAAAAGATTAGAAGAAGCAACTATTACACCAGATGTGCAGAAAACAATGTAAGGACATGTAATATATGAAAAGTTTCCAAGTCTAGGAAGACATTTAGACATCCAGATACAGGAAGCTCTCCAAACACCAAAAAGATAAATACAGAAAGATCTTCTCCAAGGCACAACAACTCTTTTGACACTCTAAAGTCAAAGACAGAGCAAATCCTAGAAACAGCAAGAGAAAACCATCTAGTCATCTATAAACAACTTTCACCACACTAACAGTGGACTTAGCAGCTATCTTACAAGCCAGGAGAGAATGAAATGATTTATTCAAAGCACTGGAAGAAAAACATAGCCATTTAAAATACTATATTCAGCAAAATTATTCTTCACGAATGAGGAATAAATACAGTATTTCAAAGACAAGCAACTACTAAAGGAATTCATCACCACTAGACTGGTCCTAGAAGAAAGGCTCAAAGGATTTCTAAACATGGAAGAGAGAGGACAACAGTACTTACTGGCAAAGAAAATATAAAAATAAGGAAAAGAAAAGATTTAAATGGTAACATTACACAAAGCTACCAAACCACAAGGACAAACAATAAGAGAAAAAGAAAAGAATAAAGAATACATGATCAGGTGTGGTGGCTCACACATGTAATCCCAGCAATTTGGGAGGCTGAGATGGGTAGATCACCTGAGGTTGGGAGTTCGAGACCAGCCTGAGCAACATGGAGAAAACGTGTTTCTACTAAAAATACAAAATTAGCCAGGGGTGGTGGCACATGCCTATAATCCCAGCTAGTCAGGATGCTGAGGCAAGATAATCGCTTGAGTCCAGAAGGCGGAAGTTGTGGTGAGCCGAGATTCCACCATTGGACTCCAGCCTGGGCAACAAGAGTAAAACTGCATCTCAAAAAAAAAAAAAAAAAAAAAGGAAAAAGAAAAAATAATACACAAATTAGAAAACAAACAGAAATATGAAGGAAAAAAGTCTCACATATCAATAATAACGTTGACTGTAAATGGATTAAAATCTCTACTTAAAAAACCTAGATTGGCTAAAGAAATAAATAACATAACCCAACTATATACTGCCTACAAGAAAATCACCTCATATGTAAAGACACATATAGACTGAAAGTAAAGGGATAGAATAAGATATTTCATGCAAACATAAACCAAAAGTTAGCAGTTGTTAGACTCATTTCAGATGAAATAGGCTTTAAGTCAAAAACAGAAAATTACAAAGAAGATCATTATATAATGATAAAGTGATCACTCCTGAAAGATAATACACCTATTCTAAATCCATATGTACACAATGCTGGAGCACCCAGAGTCATACAGCAAATATTACTAGATCTAGGGAGAAAGAGAGACACCAATACAATAATAGGGGGGAATTTCAACAAACCAATCTCAGCATTAGACAGATAATCTAGACAGAAAATTAACAAAGAAACATTGGATTCCAACTACACTTTAGACCAAATGAACCTAACATGTATTTACAAAACATGTTATCCAACAACTACAGAAAACACATTCTTCTCATCAGCACATGGAACATTCTCCAGGATGGACTATATAATAGGCCACATTACAACTGTGATCAAACTTATAAAAATCAAAATTATACCAATTGTTATCTCAGAACACAATGAAATAAAACTAGAAATCCATACAAAGAAGGACTCTGAAACTACAAAATAAATGAAAATTAAACATGTTCCATGGCCTAACAGTGTACCTCAAGGAAATAAAAAGCAAGAACAAATGAAAACTAAGTGAAACCCAGCTGGACATTGATTTAGGGAAAGAACTCAACAAAATCCCCACAAATAACTCCATTAAAAAGTGGACAAAGGATATGAATAAACACTTCTCAAAATAAGACATACGAGCAACCTAAAAACATGAAGAAAAAAGCTCAACATCACTAATTATACTAATTATCACATAAACACAAATGAAAACCACCATGATATACCATTTCACACCAGTCAGAATGGCTATTACAAAAAAGTCAAAAAAATAACAGATGTTGGTCAGGATGTGAAAAAAAAGGGAAATGTTATACCCTGTTGGTGAGAGTGTAAATTAGTTCAGCCCTTGGGAAAAGCAGTATGGAGATTTCTCAAAGAACTTAAAACAGAACTACCATTCCCGCTATTGACTATCTGCCCAAAGAAAAATAAATCATCCTACCAAAAAGATACCTATACTATTATGTCTATTGCACCACTGTTCACAATAGCACAGCCATGGAATCAATGTAGGTCCCCATCAACAGTGGATTGGATTTTTAAAAAGTGATACATATACACTATAGAATACTATGCAGCCATAAAAGAGAATGCAATTATGTCCTCCACAGCAACATGGATGCAGCTGGGGTCATTATCCTAAATGAATTAGCACAGAAACAGAAAATCCAATACTGCATGTTCTCACTTATAAATGGGATCTAAACAATGGGTATACATGGACATAAAGATGGAAACAATAAACACACAGGATTCTAAAATGTGGAAGGGAGGAAAGGGCAAAAGTTGAAAAACTACTTTTCTCATACTATTTTTATTATTTGCGTGATGGTTTCAACAGAAGCCCAAACCTCAGTATTATAAAATAAATATATGTAACAAAACTCCACAGGTACCCTTGAATCTAAAATGAATAAAAAACTGTTAATATAGTTCTGAGATTAGGAAACATCATAGTTATATTTAACTCATGTTTCTGTTCTTTTCTAATAATAGCAAATTTCTAACCCTCAACAATATATAAATAGCTCTACATAAAATATGTAACTTTTTAATTATTGAGAAAAAATAGGCCTGGCACAGTGGCTCACACCTGTAATCCTTGCACTTTGAGAGGCCAAGGTGGGTGGATCACCTGAGATCAGGAGTTAGAGACCAGCCTGGCCAACATGGTGACACCCCGTCTCTACTAAAAATACAAAAAATTAGTCAGGTGTGCTGGCTGGACCTGAAATCCCAGCTACTCAGGAGGCTGAGGCAGGAGAATCGCCTGAACCCAGGAGACAGAGGTTGCAGTGAGCTGAGATCACACCACTGGACTCCAGCCTGGGAAACAAGAGTGAAACTAGGTCTCAAAAAAACAAATTAAAAAAAAAAGAGTTTATTTGTAATAAAATGAAGTAAAATGCAATACTTTTTTTAAAAAAATTAAGAACAAGCGAAATCCAAATTAGCAGTAGAAAAGAAATAATAAAATCAGAACTTCTTAATAAAATCAAAACTGAAAAACAATACCAAAAAATCAACAAGACCAAATTTGATTTTCTAAAAAATTAACAAAATTTATCTATCACTAGCTAGAATAGCCAAAAAAGAGAGAGGACCCAAATAAGCAAAATCAGAAAAAAAAAATTGCAACTGATATCACAGAAATACAGAGGATCATCAGAGACTATTATGAACAACTATGTACTAACAAACTGAAAAACCTAGAGGAAATGGATAAATTCCTGGAAACATATAACCTACCAAGATTGAATCAGGAAGAAAAAGAACACCTGAATAGACCAATAATGAGTACTGAGTATACCTGGTGAAGATAGATGCAAAAATATTCAACAAAATAGTAGCAAGCTGAATTCAACAACAACTCAAAAATATAATGTACCATAATCAACTGGGCCTTATACCACGGATTCAAGGAAGTTTCAACATACACAGATAAAAAAAAAGATACGAAGATGGCCGAATAGGAACAGCTCCGGTCTACAGCTCCCAGTGTGAGCAACACAGAACACAGGTGATTTCTGCATTTCAATCTGAGGTACAGGATTCATCTCACTAGGGAGTGCCAGACAGTGGGTGCAGGAAAGTGGGTGCAGCACACTGTGTGCAAGCCGAAGCAGGGTGAGGCATTGCCTCACTCGGGAAGTGTAAGGGGTCAGGGAGTTCACTTTCCTAGTAAAAGAAAAGGGTGACAGACGGCACCTGGAAAATTGGGTCACTCCCACCCTAATACTGTGCTTTTCCAACGGGCTTAAAAAATGGCACACCAAGAGATTATATCCTGCACCTGGCTTGGAGGGTCCTACGCCCATGGAGTCTCACTGACTGCTAGCACAGCAGTCTGAGATCAAAGTGCAAGGTGGCAGCGAGGCTGGGGGAGGGGCGCCTGATATTGCCCAGGCTTGATTAGGAAAACAAAGCTGCCTGGAAGCTCGAACTGAGTGGAACCCACCACAGCTCAAGGAGGCCTGCCTGCCTCTGTAGGCTCCAGCTCTGGGGGCAGGGCACAGACAAAGGAAAAGACAGCAGTAACCTCTGCAGACTTAAATGTCCCTGTCTGACAGCTTTGAAGAGAGTAGTGGTTCTCCCAGCACACAGCTTGAGATCTGAGAACGGGCAGACTGCCTCCTCAAGTGGCTCCTTGACCCCTGAGCAGCCTAACTGGGAGGCACTCCACAGTAGGGGCAGATGGACACCTCACATGGCCGGGTACTCCTCTGAGACAAAACTTCCAGAGGAACCATCAGACAGCAGCATTTGTGGTTCACCAAGATCTGTTGTCCTGCAGCCACTGATGCTGATACCCAGGGAAACAGGGTCTGGAGTAGACCTCTAGCAAACTCCAACAGACCTGCAGCTGAGGGTCCTGTCTGTTAGAAGGAAAATTAACAAACAGAAAGGACATCCACACGAAAAACCCTTCTGTACGACACTGTCATCAAAGACCAAAAGTAGATAAAACTACAAAGATGGGGAAAAAACAGAGCAGAAAAACTGGAAACTCTAAAAAGCAGAGCACCTCCCCTCCTGCAAAGGAACACAGCTCCTCACCAGCAATGGAACAAAGCTGGATGTAGAATGACTTTGATGAGCTGAGAGAAGAAGGCTTCGGACGATCAAACTACTCTGAGCTACAGGAGGAAATTCAAACCAATGGCAAAGAAGTTAAAAACTGGAAAAAAAATTAGATGAATGTATAACTAGAAAAACAAATGCAGATAAGTCCTTAAAGGAGCTGATGGAGCTGAAAGCCAAGGCTCGAGAACTATGTGAAGAATGCAGAAGCCTCAGGAGCAGATGCAATCAACTGGAAGAAAGGATATCAGTGACGGAAGATGAAATGAATGAAATGAAGTGAGAAGGGAAGTTTAGAGAAAAAAGAATAAAAAGAAATGAACAAAGCCTCCAAGAAATGTGGGACTATGTGAAAAGACCAAATCTACGTCTGATTGGTGTACCTGAAAGTGACGGGGAGAATGGAACCAAGTTGGAAAACACTCTGAAGGATATTATCCAGGAGAACTTCCCCAATCTAGCAAGACAGGCCAACATTCAGTTTCAGGAAATACAGAGAATGCCACAAAGATACTCCTCGAGAAGAGCAACTCCAAGAAACATAACTGTCAGATTCACCAAAGTTGAAATGAAGGAAAAAATGTTAAGGGCAGCCAGAGAGAAAGGTCGGGTTACCCTCAAAGGGAAGCCCATCAGACTAACAGCAGATCTCTCGACAGAAACTCTACAAGCCAGAAGAGAGTGGGGGCCAATATTCAAAATTCTTAAAGAAAAGAATTTTCAACCCAGAATTTCATATCCAGCCAAACCAATCTTCATAAGTGAAGGAGAAATAAAATCCTTTACAGACAAACAAATGCTGAGAGATTTTGTCACCACCAGGCCTGCCCTAAAAGAACTGAAGGAAGTGCTAAACATGGAAAGGAACAACCGGAACCAGCCACTGCCAAAACATGACAAAATGTAACGACGAACAAGGCTAGGAAGAAACTGCATCAACTAACGAGCAAAATAACCAGCTAACATCATTATGACAGGTCCAAATAAACACATAACAATATTAACTTTAAATGTAAATGGGCTAAATGCTCCAATTAAAAGACACAGACTGGCAAACTGGATAAAGATTCAAGAACCATCAGTGTGCTGTATTCAGGAAACCCATCTCACATGCAGAGACACACATAGGCTCAAAATAAAGGGATGGAGGAAGGCCTACCAAGCAAATGGAAAACAAAAAAAGGCAGGGGTTGCAATCCTAGTCTCTTATAAAACAGACTTTAAACCAACAAAGATCAAAAGAGACAAAGAAGGCCATTATATAATGGTAAAGGGATCAATTCAACACAGAAGAGCTAACTATGGTAAATATATATGCACCCAATACAGGAGCACCCAGATTCAAAAAGCAAGTCCTTAGTGACCTACGAAGAGACTTAAACTCCCACAAAATAATAATGGGAGACTTTAACACCCCACTGTCAACATTAGACAGATCAATGAGGCAGAAAGTTAACAAGGATACACAGGGATTGAACTCAGCTCAACACCAAGCGGACCTAATAGACATCTACAGAACTCTCCACCCCAAATCAACAGAATATACATTTTTTCAGCACCACACCACACCTATTCCAAAATTGACCAAATAGTTGGAAGTAAAGCACTCCTCAGCAAATGTAAAAGAAAAGAAATTATAACAAACTGTCTCTCAGACCACAGTGCAATCAAACTAGAACTCAGGATTAAGAAACTGACTCAAAACTGCTTAACTACATGGAAACAGAGCAACCTGCTCCTGAATGACTACTGGGTACATAACGAAATGAAGGCAGAAATAAAGATGTTCTTTGAAACCAATGAGAACAAAGACACAACACACCAGAATCTCTGGGACACATTCAAAGCAGTGTGTAGAGGGAAATTTACAACACTAAATGCCCACGAGAGAACACAGGAAAGATCTAAAATTGACATGCTAATGTCACAATTAAAAGAACTACAAAAGCAAGAGCAAACACATTCAAAAGCTAGAATAAGGCAAGAAATAACTAAAATCACAGCAGAACTGAAGGAAATAGAGACACAAAAAAACCTTTCAAAAAATTAAGGAATCCAGGAGCTGGTTTTTTGAAAGGTCAACAAAATTGATTGACCACTACCAAATCAAAACCACAATGAGATAACATCTCACACCAGTTAGAATGGCAATCATTAAAAAGTCAGGAAACAACAGGTGCTGGAGAGGATGTAGAGAAATAGGAACACTTTTTCACTGTTGGTGGGATTGTAAACTAGTTCAATCATTGTGGAAGTCAGTGTGGCAATTCCTCAGGGATCTAGAACTAGAAATACCATTTGACCCAGCCATCCCATTACTGGGTATATACCCAAAGGATTATAAATCATGTTGCTATAAAGACACATGCACACGTATGTTTATTGTGGCACTATTCACAAAAGCAAAGACTTGGAACCAACCCAAATGTCCAACAATGATAGACTGGATTAAGAAAATGTGGCACATATACACCATGGAATACTATGCTGCCATAAAAAATGATGAGTTCATGTCCTTTGTAGGGACATGGATGAAATTAAAATCATCATTCTCAGTAAACTATCACAAGAACAAAAAACCAAACAACGCATGTTCTCACTCACAGGTGGAAATTGAACAATAAGAACACATGGACACAGGAAGGGGAACATCACACTCTGGGGACCGCTGTGGGCTGGGGGAAGAGGGGAGGGATAGCATTAGGAGATACACCTAATGCTAAATAAGGAGTTAATGGGTGCAGCACACCAGCATGGCACAGGCATACATACGTAACTAACCTGCACATCATGCACATGTACCCTAAAACTTAAAGTATAATAATAATAAAATAAAATAAAAAATAAAAAAGACTAATAAAGAAGAAAAGAGAGAAGAATAAAATAGATGCAAAAAAAATGATAATGGGGATATCACCACCAATCCCACAGAAATACAAACTACCATCAGAGAATACTACAAACACCTCTATGCAAATAAACTAGAAAATCTAGAAGAAATGGATAAATTCCTCGACACATACACTCTCCCAAGACTAAACTAGGAAGAAATTGAATCTCTGCATAGACCAATAACAGGCTCTGAAGTTGTGCCAATAATCAATAGCTTACCACCCTAAAACAGTTCAGGACCAGATGGATTCACAGCCGAATTCTACCAGAGGTAAAAGGAGGAGCTGATACCTTTCCTCTGAAATTATTCCAATCAATAGAAAAAGAGGGAATCCTCCCTAACTCATTTCATGATGCCAGCATCATCCTGATACGAAAGCCTGGCAGAGACACAACAAAAAAAGAGAATTTTAGACCACTATCCTTGATGAACATTGATGCAAAAATGCTCAATAAAATACTGGCAAACAGAATCCAGCTACACATCAAAAAGCTTATCCACCATGATCAAGTGGGCTTCATCCCTGGGATGCAAGGCTGGTTCAACCTACACAAATCAATAAATGTAATCCAGCATATATACAGAACCAAAGTCAAAAACCACATGATTATCTCAATAGATGTAGAAAAGGCCTTTGACAAAATTCAAAAACTTCATGCTAAAAACTCTCAATAAATTAGATATTGATGGGACATATCTCAAAATAATAAGAGCTATCTATGACAAACCCACAGCCAAAATCATACTGAATGGGCAAAAACTGGAAGCATTCCCTTTGAAAACTGGCACAAGACATGGATGGCTTCTCTCACCACTCCTATTCAACATAGTGTTGGAAGTTCTAGCCAGGGCAATTAGGCAGGAGAAGGAAATAAAGGGTATTCGATTAGGAAAAGAGGAAGTTAAACTGTCCCCGTTTGCAGATGACATGATTGTATATCTAGAAAACCCCATTGTCTCAGCCCAAAATCCCCTTAAGCTGATAAGCAACTTCAGCAAAGTCTCAGGATACAAAATCAATGTACAAAAATCAGAAGCATTCTTATACACCAATAACAGACAAACAGAGAGCCAAATCATGAGTGAACTCCCATTCACAATTGCTTCAAAGAGAATAAAATACCTAGGAATCCAACTTACAAGAGATGTGAAGGACCTCTTCAAGGAGAACTACATCAATGAAATAAAAGAGGATACAAACAAATGGAAGAACATTCCATGCTCATGGGTAGAAAGAATCAATATCATGAAAATGGCCATACTGCCCAAGGTAATTTATACATTCAATGCCATCCCCATCAAGCTAGCAATGACTTTCTTTCCAGAATTGGAAAAAACTACTTTAAAGTTCATATGGAACCAAAAAAGCCCACATCGCGAAGTCAATCCTAGGCCAAAAGAACAAAGTCGGAGGCATCAGGCTACTTGACTTCAAACTATACTACAAGGCTATAGTAACCAAAACAGCATGATACTGGTACCAAAACAGAGATATAGACCAATGGAACAGAACAGAGCCCTCAGAAATAATGCTACATATCTGCAACCATCTGATCTTTGACAAACCTGACAAAAGCAAGCAATGGAGAAAGGATTCCGTATTTAATAAATGGTGCTGGGAAAACTGGCTAGCCAGATATAGAAAGCTGAAACTGGATCCCTTCCTTATACCTTATACAAAAATTAATTCAAGATGGATTTAAGACTTAAACGTTAGACCTAAAACCATAAAAACCCTAGAAGAAAACCTAGGCAATTCCATTCAGGACATAGGCATGGGCAAGGACTTCATGTCTAAAACACCAAAAGCAATGGCAACAAAAGACAAAATTGACAAATGGGATCTAATTAAACTAAAGAGCTTCTGCACAGGAAAAGAAACTACCATCAGAGTGAACAGGCAACCTACAAAATGGGAGAAAACTTTCACAACCTACTCATCTGACAAAGGGCTAATATCCAGAATCTAAAATGAACACAAACAAATTTACAAGAAAAAAACAACCCCATCAAAAAGTGGGCAAAGGATATGAACAGACAGTTCTCAAAAGAAGACATTTATGCAGCCAAAAAACACATGAAAAAATGCTCATCATCACTGGCCATCAGAGAAATGCAAACCAAAACCACAATGAGATACCATCTCACACCAGTTAGAATGGCGATCATTAAAAAGTCAGGAAACAACAGGTGCTGGAGAGGATGTGGAGAAATAGGAACACTTTTACACTGTTGGTGGGATTGTAAACTAGTTCAACCATTGTGGAAGTCAGTGTGACGCTTCCTCAGGGATCTAGAACTAGAAATACCATTTGACCCAGCCATCCCATTACTGGGTATATACCCAAAGGATTATAAATCATGCTGCTATAAAGACACATGCACACGTAAGTTTATTGTGGCACTATTCACAATAGCAAAGACTTGAAACCAACCCAAATGTCCAACAATGATAGACTGGATTAAGAAAATGTGGCACATATACACCATGGTACACTATGCAGCCATAAAAAATGAAGAGTTCACGTCCTTTGCAGTGACATGGATGAAACTGGAAACCATCATTCTCAGCAGCAAACTATCGCAAGGACAAAAAACCAAACACTGCATGTTCTCACTCATAGGTGGGAATTGAACAATGAGAACACATGGACACAGGAAGGGGAACATCACACTCTGGGGACTGTTGTGGGGTGGGGGGAGGGGGGAGGGATAGCATTAGGAGATATACTTAATGTTAAATGACGAGTTAATGGGTGCAGCACACCAACATGGCAAATGTATACATATGTAAGAAACCTGCACATTGTGCACATGTACCCTAAAACTTAAAGTATAATAATAATAAAATAAAATAAAATAAAATAAGATACATCACATCAACAGAATGAAGACCAAAAACCATACAACTATCTCAACAGATGCAGAAAATTCATTTGATAAAATTTAACACCCCTTCATTATAAACCTCAAAGCAAATTAGTCGTAAAAGGAACATACTTCAAAACAACAAAAGCCATACATGACAAACACACAGCTAACATAATAAGAAATGGGGAAAAGCTGAAGGTCCTTTCTTTAAAAACTAGAACAAGACAATGATTCCCACTTTCACTGCTCCTAATCAACATAATACTAGTCCTAGTCAGAGTAATCTGGAAAAAATAAATAAAGAAAGAAAAAGTATCCAAATTAGAAAACAGGAAGTCAACAAATTGTTCCTCTTTGCAGATGACAAGATATCACATTTAGGAAAACATGAAGACTCTACCAAAAAAAAAAAAAAAAAAAAACCTTAGAATAGCTAAATGAATTCAGTAAAGTTACAGGATAGAAAATCAATATCCAAAAATTAGTAGCATTTATATAAACCAATAATGAAATGGCCAAAATAAATTAAGATTCCAATTCCTTTTACAATTTATACCAAAAAATTAAAATTAAAATAACTAGAAATCAATTTAACAAGGGAGGTTACAGGTCTCTTCAAGGAAATCTACAAAACACTGATGAAAATAACTAAAGAGGACGGAGGAAATGGAATGGCATACCATGGTCATGGATTGAAAGAATTAATATTTAAATGTCCATATTGCCCAAAGCTATTTACAGATTTAATGCAATCCCTATCAAAGTACCAATGTCATTTTTCAAATACATAGAAAAAATAATTCTACAATTCATATGAAACCAAGAAAAAGCCAGAATAGCCAATCCAATCTTAAGCAAAAAGAATAAAGGTGAAGGCATCACGCTATCTAACTTCAAAATATATTACAAGGCTGTAGTATGGTATAAAAATAGACCTACAGGCCAATAAAACAGTATAGAGAATGCAGAAATAAATCCACATACCTAACCCAACTTATCTTTGATAAAGCCATCAGGAATATATATTGGGAAAAAGAAACACTCTTCAATAAATTGTGTAGGAAAACTGGATAACCATATGAAGAAGAATGAAACTGGACCCATATATATCACGGTATACAAAAGTCAATTCAAGAAGGATTAAAGACTTAAATGAGAGACCCAAAATTGTAAAACTACTAAGAGAAAACGCTTCAGGACAGTTAGTCTAGGGAAGGATATTACAGATAAGACCTTAAAAGCACAGGCAACAAAAACAAAAATAGACAAATGGGACTATATTAAATTAAAAAGCTGCTGCAGAACAAAAACATTGAGTGAAGAGACACCCTCTTGAATGGGAGGAAATATTTGCAAACTACTCATCCAACAGGGGACTAATAAGAATGTACAAGAAACTCAAGCAACTCAACAACAACAAAAAAATCCTATTAAAATGGGCAAAGAGCATGAATAAACATTTCTAAAATGAAGACATGTAAATGACACTAGGTATATTAAAAATGCTCAACATGCCTAATCATCATGAAAATGTAAATGAGAGCCACAATGAGACATCATTTCACCCCAGTTAGAGTGGCTATTATTAACAAGACAACAAATAAGAGATGCTGGTGAGGATGTGAAGAAAAGGGAACCATACACTGTTGGTGGGAACATAACTTAATACAACCACTGTTGAAAACAGTATGAAATTTCTGAAAATACTACAAATAGAACTACCTTTGATCCAGCAATTTCACTACTGTTTATGCAAAAGAAATCAGCATATCAAAGGAATACCCACACTTGCCTGTTTATCAGAACACTATTCACAATAGCAAAGATATAGAATCAATTTAAGTTTCCATGAATGAATAAAAAAGTATGATATATACACATATATACACACAATGGAATAACATTCTGCCATAATAGTAATAAATAGATGACAAAATCAATGAAAGCACATTATGTGCAGCAACATGGATGGAACTGGAGATCATTATGTTAAGTGAATAAACCAGCCACAGAAAGCCAAATACTGCACGTCCTCATTCATATGTCGGGGCTAAAAACCTTGATCCTGTGGGCCTAGGGAACAGAATGACAGATACCAGAGAATGGAAAAGGTGAGTGGGTGGGGTAGGGTGGGGAATGAGAGAGCTTGGTTAATGGGTACAAACACAGATAGAAGAAATAAGTTCTTATGTTTGATAGCAGACTGAGGTGACCATACTTAAGAATATTTTGTATATTTTAAAATAACTAGAAGAGAGGACTTGAAATGATACCAACATAGAGAAATGATAAATATTCAAGGTGATGGATACCCCAAATACCCTGACTTGATTATTACACATTCTATACACATAACAAACACTCACATGTACTCCATAAATATGCAAAATATTATCTACAAATACAAGAATATACAATAAAACACAGGGAAAAAATCTTCCTGACATTCATCTTAGCAATGATTTTGGGGATATGACCCAAAAAGCACGGGTAACAAATGCAAAAGTAAACAAGTGGGACCACATCAAACTAAAAAGTTTCTACACAGCAAAGGAAAGAATCAACAAAATGAAAGAGTAACCTACAGAATAGGACAAAATATTTGCAAACTATAAAACCAAAATCTATAATGAGTTAATATCCAAAACATGTAAGGGAAACATACAATTCAATACCAAAAAGCAAATAATAGTATTAAAAGTAGGCAAAAGGCTTGTATAGACATTTATCAAAAGAAGACATAAAAATTATCAACAAGTATATGAAAAAATACTCAAAATCACTATTGATCACAGAACTACAAATCAAATACGCACTGAGATACCACCTCACACCTATTAGGAAGAGTATGATCAAAACATGAAAAGATAACAAGTGTTGTCATGGATGTGAAGAAAAGAGAACCTTTGTGCACTGTTGGTGGTAATGTAAATTATCAGATCCATCATGGAAAACAGTATTGACCTTCTTTAAAAAATTAAAAATAGAACCACCATATGATACATCAATCCCATATCCCACTTCTTGATGTGTATCTGAAAGATATAAATTCAGAATCTCAAAGATATATCTGCACTCCCATGTTTATTGCAGCATTATTCAGAACAGTCAAAAGAATCAACTTAAGTATCCATGGATGGATGGATAAAAAAATGAATACACACACACACACGCATGCACAATGGAATATTATTCAGCCCTAAAAAGGAAAGAAAACCTGCTATTTGCAACAACATGGGTGAGCCCAGAAGACATTGTGCTAAGTGAGATAAGCCAGATACAGAAAGACAAATACTGCATGATCTCACTTATATGAGAAACCTAAAGAAGTTGAACTCATAGAAACAGAACAGAAGGGTGGTAACCAAGGACTGGTTGGGTGGCAGTAATGGAGAGGTGTTGTTGGAGAACAAACTTTCATTTATAGTTTTATAAGTTCTGGGGATCTAATATATATTATGGTGACTATAGTTAACAATGTATTGTATACTTGAAATGTGCTAAGGGAATATATCTTAAGTGTTCTCACCGCAGAAACAAGGATAAAAACAAGAAATTACTTTGTGAGGTGATGGATATGTCTTGATTTTGGTAATTATTTCACATTGTGTACATATTACAGATAATCAGGTTGTACAACTTAAATACATACAATTTTTATTTGTCAATTATATCTCAGTAAAGGGGGAGGAAATAAGTCCTATGAAGTCAGCTTAAGTAGATGTCTTACGTCTAAGAGTACAAGTTGAAAACTCAAATATACAGAAATTAAGTAGATAATATAGATCAATAAGGAAAGCCAGGAAGAGGGCAAATACCCAGTCTAAAGGGAGTGGCTACTACTTAGTTCCAGCCAATTGCTACCATGTAGGAATAGAAGCCCAGGTTTGTCAAATCTTCTGGTTTTCAAAAGAAAGAAATGTTCATTTTTAAATGTTAAATTTGCCAATTAAATAAAAATATTGGCTGAATTTCAAACACTGTTTAAGCCAAACAAAACACATATTTAGCCTAAATTGACCCTTAGTTTGTGTTCACTATAGACAATGCCCAGTATCTGAGAGGTAAGCAAGAGGTCATTGCTTATCAGTGTAGCTGCTAAGAACAAAATGACTGGTACAGATTATCATGTCAGAGGAGGCTGCCACCATGAGCCAGTGATAGTGTTGAATATTAGAAAAAAGTATTGGAGAAGAGGTAGTGTAGTCTGAGTCTTGATGTCTAAGAAACATGTTGAGAAAAGAAAGAAACTTTTATCTGAGGAATGCGAGTTCTTTTTAATTATCAGGCCCAGAGAGAAATTAAAATGAGACCTCAATCATGCTCCATTTCCCATTTTGAGCTAAGAGCTTATATCTTCAAACTGTTTGTTTTTGCCTCAAGTAGCTATAAATTAACCTAATAATGTCACACCAGACACTATAACATATATCCTATAGCTTAACAATATATAACCAATCACTAATCAATATTATTTCTATAAACCAAAAAGAATTTCTGACGAGCAGCTTTGTCTCAGCTCACTCCCTGCCCCCCTTTTTTCTGGCTTTAAAAATCCACTTGTAACTGTTGTTAATTGAAGTGTATATTCAGGGCAACATGAATCTATGCTTCTAGGTTACAATCCTCAAGCTTGGCCCAAATAAACTTTCTACTTATATTAATTTTTTTCAGCTTCTTCCTTTTGATTGACGATGTAGACAAATGGAGAGAAGATGAATAAGAGAAATTCAGGTCTGGCTGTGAATATAACATAAGTAGAAATTTGAAGGTAGGTGTGCACATGACATGTTTTGACAATGAGTAGAAAAGCTTACCTCAGTAGATGATTTATTATTGGAAATAGAGATTGCTTTATAAAAACTGGGACACAATTGTGAGTAACTTTGAATTCCAAAGTTATTCAGAATATGTTAACAAATAAACTCAATCTAGGACCAATATTACCAAATAAACTCCACTGACCTGCTCCCTTTAGCCTTTAGCTGAAACCATTGCCAATTTCAGTTTTCCAAGACTTTTTGTGCTATCTATACAAGCAACATTCTATATGTAAATCACTCTGTCAAGTATTTTGGAAAATATAAAAAATAAACAACTATGTAGCATGTGGTTTATGGAGACAATTATGAGGCTTCTGTCTTGTGCATATGGATGTGAAGAAACTACCAATTAAAAAGCACTTTTGCCATAGTGAGTTGTGTTTTACTCCCTCCCTCACCAAACTCCATCTCCCCACCTTACCCTCCCCCATCACTTTTTCCCCTTTCCTCCTATATAATCAACAGGCTCAGCTTCTCCAGTGATATTTGTGTTTGTACTCTGAAATGATGTGAATACATATTTTGATTAACACTGTTTCCTTAGAGGAAAGAACACTTGTCTTACAAGTACATTGCAGTGCAAATGTTTAAAATCACTCCAAAGTGCCTAAGTGGGACTTACATCAATGTTTCTGCTTGACTTTTTCACAGAAGAAATGATATCTTCTGGAAAGCAAAGACAAACAAAATTCTTTTGGAATAGAAATGAGTGACGAATCATCTCCATTAAACAAAATGATAGAACTATTGCTGTTCAATTAAGGTCTTTATAATGAATCATAAAAATGCAAGATGTAAAGTATGTCTGTGTGGTTGAGCTCCAATTCTTAATGATAAATTGAGTTGATTTCTCCCCCAGTGAGTTTGGAGTGTTTGGATTTTATCTTTTTTTAATCTGTCTTAATCATTAATTATAATTTCAAAAATAATATGAGTCACTGCTTCACAGCTTGGAAGCAAAGGCAGCATTCTGTTTTGGGGAAATGTTTTTATAGCAATTAACTTCTATTTATGTCACTCTTCTGCCATATTTAGAAGTCACCACATTTCTGATAAAGTCTACTATGTGGCCTTGGATAGCAAACAAAATGTTACCACCTTTCTTTTAACTCTGGACATCAAATCTTGGATGAGCTCAAATTGTCCACAGGTGGTACCTCGAGGTAACCAGTGAAACACCCAGGGAGCTCTTCAAGGATAGGCATTACTTCCTTCTTTTGTAATATTGTTGAAGTTGACTTTAAGGTCTTCAGGCTGAACCCACTGATTTTTCCTAGTTTGCATCTACTTCTGTGGCAGTTTCAGTAGTCTTGTTTTATTAGCCTCAAATGAAAGTCACCTTTCCCTGCTCTCCACTTCATGGGACTAAAATGGCTGTGGTGTGTTGGAAGAGGAAAAATAAAAATAAAGCACATCTATTACTCAAATCAGCTGTGGTTCTGGATTTCTGTCTCAGGGTATAATCACTTTTTTTGCTTAGCTATTTCTTATAGAAACAAGGAGGTAAAGGAAGAAGAAATATTGAATCCTCAGCTGTGGATTAAAAGAAAGAGAAAATAAAGGCACCCCTAAATTGGTAAGGTACCTGCTCTAGATACCTATGTGGTTGGAAGTGAACGAGATTTCAAATATGCCAGTACTCTCATGGAAGTGTAATATGTAATTTGAAGTCCCAAAAGCACCTATTAGAAGTATGAAGAAATTCAGGAAGGTACTCCAGAAAGGGAGTCTTGTTAAAGGGAGATTGGTTTAAAGTCTATCTAAGTCATGAAGCTATTCTATACAAAAGCAGAATAGGTATCTATCTATGCTTATTTGAAGTCCACAGCTTCATACTTGCCTCCAAATATCTTTTTCCAGTATTACATCCTACTCTTTTCTCATACCAGTCTCAAATCCGTATACTTTAAATATTCTTCAGAGTCAAAGAACAAAAAGCCTCCTTCCAGTTAAAAATGCAAAATGGTTTTTCTTCCCCAAGATGGTGGATTTGAGGCTTTGTTAGCACACCTTACCCTCTTGGAAAGAGCAAAACCGTGTGTAGAAACTTTCACACTGTGATTTTTTTTTTAAGTTCTGGGACACATGTGCAGAACGTGCAGGTTTGTTACATAGGTATATATGTGCCATCGTGATTTGCTGCACCTTTCAACCCATCATCTAGGTTTTAAGCCCTGCATGCATTAGGTACTTGTCCTAATGCTCTCCCTCCCCTTGGCCTCCACCCGCTGACAGGCCCTGGTGTGTGATGTTAATTTTTTTTTTTTTTTTTGAGACGGAGTTTTGCTCTTGTCACCCGGGCTGGAGTGCAATGGCATGATCTCAGCTCACTGCAACCTCCACCTCCTGTGTTCAAGCCATTCTCCTGCCTCAGCATGCCAAGTAGCTGGGATTACAGGTATACACCACCATGCCCAGCTAATTTTTGTATTTTTAGTAGGGATGGGGTTTCACGATGTTGGTCAGGCTGGTCTTGACCTCCTGACCTCAGGTGATCCACCCGCCTTGGCCTCCCAAAGTGCTTGGATTACAGGCATGAGTCACAGCACCCAGCCCTCACACTGTGAAATTTTATCCAAGAAAGAACATGGGAGCTCAACAGAAAAAGTGAAAGAAAGTTTGGATACTTTGAAAGAAACTGTGGACAGCTGCCTGACCCAAGGGTCCAGCAGAAAACTGCAAATCTTGGTTGGGCACAGCATTTTGGGAGGCCAAGGTGGATGGGATTGCTTGACTCAGGAGTTCAAGATCAGTCTGAGCACCATTGCAAGACCCCTGATTTTTACTAAGAAAACAAACAACAACAACAACAACAACAACAAAACAAGCATGGTGGTACGTGCTTGTAGTCCCAAGTATTCAGGAGGTGGAGGTGGAAGGATCACTTGAGCCCAGGAGTCAAAGCTACAGTGAGCTGAGATTGAGGTTGCAGTGTGCCATGATCATGCCACTGCACTCCACCTAGAAGACAGAGTAAAACCCCATTTAAGAAAGAAGAGAAAGAAAGAGAGAAAGAGAGGAAATGAAAGGAAAAGAACGGAGAGGAGAGGGAGAGGGAGGGGGAGAGGGAGAGGGAGAAAGAAAGAGTGGGGTGGGAAGGAGAGAGGAGAAGGAAGAAAAAATGGAAGGAAAGAAGGAAGGAAGGAAGGAAAGAAGGAAGGAAGGAGAAACCGTAAGTCTTCATAGAGTGAAGTAGGAGAGACTATCTTGATGATACACATTCCCACCAGGGAACTGGGCAATCCAGGCCACAGGAGAGTTCCTTGACACTACCCAGCACTGGATCTTACTTGGTGAGAGAGGGGAGTCTTCAGAAAAAAAGTAGCATTTTGCAGAAAAAAATGTAGCATTTTGCATAACTCTTAGACCCCAGTGTCAACAGAAAAGAAAAAGCCATCTCTGATCCTAATTCCAGGGTACCTTGGGGAAATCTGCCAGCCAACTCAGGCAGTAGTCACATGCTGGGAGAGGCTGCCAACTGAGATTTGCAATGTAATCTAGAGTGAAGATAAACCCCCAAGGACAAAACAAGTGTTAATAAATTTTAAAAAATTGAAATCATATCAAATATCTTCTCAGACCACAGTAGAATAAAACTAGAAATGATTTCTGATGGGAACTCTCAAAATTATACAAATACATGGAAATTAAACCACCTGATTCTGAATGATCTTTGGATTCAATTATGAAATTAAGATGGAAAGCAAAAAGTTTGTAGAAATGAATGAAAATAGAGACACAACATACCCAAACCTCTGGGATGCAGAGAAAAAAGTTCTAAGAGGGGAGATTTTATCATTAAATACCTATGTAAAAAACATAAGAAGATCACTAATTAATATCCTAACACTGCACCTCTAGAAACTAGAAAAACAAGAAAAAACCCAACCAATGCCAGCAAAAGAGAGATAACAAAGATCAAATTAGATCTAAGTAAAAATGAGACAAAAATACAATACAATGGATTAACTAAATGAAAAGTTGGTTCTTTCAAAAGATAAACAAAACTGATAGCCCACTAGCTATAATAAACAAGAAAAGAAGATAGAAGATTCAAATAAGCACAGTGAGAAATGAAAAAGGAGACATTACAACTGATACCACATAAATACAGAAGGTAATCAAAAACTGCTATGAACATGTCTATGCTCACAAACTAGGAAACATAAAGAAAATGAGTAAATTCCTAAAAACATACAACCTACCAAGATTAAACCAGGAAGAAATAGAATCCTCAACTGATCAATAACAGGTAGTGAGTCAGTAATTAAAAACATATTTCTCCACCTGCCAAGAAAAAGCCCAGGACCAGATGGAATTGCAGCTGAATTCTTCAAGATATACAAGATAAAACTGGTACATATTCTCTTGAAAATGTTCCAAAATTAGAGGAGGACAAAATCCTCTCTAACTCAATCTACAAAGCCAATATCATTGTGATACCAAAGCCAGACAAGGAAACAACAAAAAAAGAAAGCTACAAACCAATATATCTGAAGAACATCGATGCAAAACTTCTCAACAAAATAGTAGCAAATTGAATCCAACAGCACATCAAAAAGATAATACACCACAATTAAGTGGGTTTTATTTCAGAAACGCAAGGATAGTACAACATATGCAAATCAGTAAATGTGATTCACCACATAAACAGAATTAAAAAACAGAAACCATATGATCCTCTCAATAGATGCAGAAAAAGCATTTGATAAAATTCAGCAATTTTTATAATAAAAACATTCAACAAACTAGGCATAGAAGGAACATACCTCAAAATAAGAAAGCCATACATGGCAAATCCACAGTCAACATCATACCAAATGGGGAAAGTTGAAATATTTCCCCTAAAAACTGAAACAAGACAAGAATGCCCACTTTCACCACTCCTATTCAACATAGTATGGAAGTTCTAGCCAGAGCAATCAGGCAAAAGAAAGAAAAAAAAATCCAAATTTGGAAAGAGACAGTCAAATTATCTTTGTTTGCTGATTATATGATCTTTCACCTAGAAAACTCTAAAGGTTCTGCCAAAAGATTCCTAGTTTAATAAATGACTTCAATAAAGTTTGAGAATACAATATCTATGTACTTCAATAAAGTTTGAGAGTACAATATCAATGTACAAAAATCAGTAGCATTTCTATTCACCAATTAGGAGAAGCTGAGTACCAAATCAAAAACTCAATCCCATTTACAATAACTACATAAATATAAAATAGCTAGAAATACATTTAACCAATGTGATGAAGCCTCTCTACAAGGCTTTGTTTGTTTCTTTTCACTGTTTTTTCTCTAATCTTGTCTTCTCACTTTATTTCATTAATTTGATCTTCAATCACGGATATCCTTTCTTCTGCTTGATCGAATCGGCTATTGAAGCTTGTGTATGATTCATGAATTTCTCGTACTGTGGTTTTCAGCTCTATCAGGTCATTTAAGGTCTTCTCTATACAGTTATTCTAGTTAGCCATTCATCTAACCTTTTTTCAAGGTTTTTAGCTTCCTTGCTATGGGTTAGAACATGCTCCTTTAGCTAGGAGAAGTTTGTTATTACCAACCTTCTGAAGGTTGGTAAATAAACTGTAGAAGACAAAGATAAATGGTGAAATTTCCCAAGCTCATGGGTTGGAAGAATCAATATCATTAAAATGAATACATGGCACAAAGCGATCTACAGACAATGCAGTGCTTATCAATATATTATTATTTTACACAGTTAGAAAAATAATCCAAAAATAAAAACATAACCAGAAAATAAAAGAGTCCAAATAGCCATCCTAAGCACAAATAGCACAACTGGAAGCATCATATTACCTTACTTCAAATTATACCACAAGATTATAGGAACCAAAACAACATGGTACTGAAATAAAAATAGACACATGAGATAAATAAAACAGAAGAGAGAACCCAGACATTAAGCCACATACCTGCAACCAACTGATTTTTATAAAGTTGACAATAAAACATACACTGTGGCAAGGACACCCTATTCAATAAATAGTGCTGTGAAAATTGGATAGCCATATGCAGAAGAATGACACTAAGCTCCTATGTCTCACCATGTATAAAAATTAACTCAAGATGGATTAAATACTTAAATTATAATACCTGTAATTATAAAAACTTTATTTAAAGAAAGCTTTGGAAAAAGTTCTCTCGACATTAGCCTTGGCAAAGAGTTTATAACTAAGACCTCAAAAGCAAATGCAACAAAAACAAAAGTAGGCTAATGGGATTCAATGAAACTAAAAAGCTTCTGCATGGCAAAAGATACAGAGAGAACAGACAGCATACAAAATGGGAGAAAGTATTTGCAAACTATGCATTTGACAAAGGAGTAAGATCCAGACACAAACAACTGAAGAGATAAAAGCAAATAACCCCATTAAAAAGTGGTCAAAAGACATTAGTAGACATTTTTCACAAGAAGATGTACAAATGGTCAACAAGCATGTTAAAAAAAAGTTTGACATAACTAATCATCAGAAAAAGCAAATTAAGACCACAATGAAATATCATCTTATACCAGTAACAATGGCTACTATTAAATGTCAAAAAAAAAAAGATGTTGGCAAAAATGTAAAGAAAAGTGAATAATTATACACTGCTGCTTGGAATGTTTATTAGTAGAGTCCCCATGGAAAAAGTATAATTTCTCATAAAGCCAAATTAATTTCTTAAAGAACTAAAAATAAAACTACCACTCAACCCAGAAATCTTACTACTGGATATCTACCCAAAAGAAAGGAAATCATTATATCAAAAAGATACCTGTTTATAATAGCACTATTCACAAAAGCAAAGATATGGAATCATCGTAAGTGTCCGCCATCAACAGATGATTGGATAAAGAAAATGTCACACACACACACACACACACACACGCACACACGGAATACAATTCAGCCATAAAAAAGAATAAAATCATGTCATTTGAAGCAACATGGGTGGAACTTGGAACTGCAGGCCATTATATTAAGTGAAATAATTCAGAAACAGATAGTCAAATACCAGACGTTCTCACTTATAAGTGGGAGCTAAATAATGTATACATATGGACACAGAGAGTGGAATAATATACATTGGAGACTCTGAGAGATGGGAGGGTGGAAGAATTTTGAGAGAAGAGAAATTACTAATGGATAAAATATACACTATTAAGGTGATGATTACACTAAAAGCCCAAACTTCATCACTATGCAATATATCCATGTAACAAAACTGCAATAATACCCCCTAATCTATAAAAACAAAATAAAATAAAGAAATAAAAGATATTCAGGAGACATGAAAACTAAATAAATAAATCTATAAAATAAATAAAAATGCAACTGTAGCTAGATAAACGAAACCTCTAGCCTTCTTTTATAAGCTCATCATAAGTTTTTTTGACCAGTTGATAACCCTGACAATTCTGTCTCCTGAACTAGAAAGTATAAAATGACCAACAGTACAATAGGGACATGGGGTGTTTGGGAATTCTTCTTCTTATTATTATTATTATACCTTAAGTTCTAGGGTGCATGTGCAGAGCATGCAGGTTTTTTACATAGGTATACATATGCCATGTTGGTTTGCTGCACCCATCAACTCATCATTTACATTAGCTATTTCTCCTAACGCTCTCCCTCCCCCAGCCCTCCACTGTCCAACAGGCCCCAGTGTGTGATGTTCCCCTCTCTGTGTACATGTGTTCTCATTGTTCAATTCCCACGTATGAGTGACAACATGAGGTGTTTGGTTTTTTGTCCTTGTGATAGTTTGCTGAGAATGATGGTTTCCAGCTTCATCCATGTACCTGCAAAGGACATGAACTCATCCTTTTTTATGGTTGCATAGTATTCCATGGTGTATATGTGCCACATTTTCTTTATCCAGTCTAGTATTGATGGACATTTGGGTGGGTTCCAAGTCTTTGCTATTGTGAATAGTGCCGCAGTAAACATACATGTGCAAGTGTCTTTATACTAGCATGATTTATATTCCTTTGGGTATACATCAAACAATGGGATTGCTAGGTCAAATGGTATTTCTAGTTCTAGATCCGTGAGGAATTGCCACACTGTCTTCCACAATGGTTGAACTAATTTACACTCCAAAAACAGCATAAAAGCATTTCTGTTTCTCCACATCGTCTCCATTATCTGATGTTTCCTGACTTTCTAATGATCGCCATTCTAACTGGTGTGAGATGGTATCTCATTGTGGTTTTGATTTGCATTTTTCTGTTGACCAGTGATGATGAGCATTTTTTCATATGTCTGTTGGCTGCATAAATGTCTTCTTTTGAGAAGTGTCTGTTCATATCCTTTGCCCACTTTTTGATGGGGTTTTTTGTTTTTTTTCTTGTAAATTTGTTTAAGTTCTATTAGCCCTTTGTCAGATGGATAGATTGCAAAAATTTTCTCCCATTCTGTAGGTTGCCTGTTCACTCTGTTGGTAGTTTCTTTTGCTGTGCAGAAGCTCTTTAGTTTAATTAGATCCCACTTGTCTATTTTGGCTTTTGTTGCTATTGCTTTTGATGTTTTAGTCATGAAGTCTTTGCCCATGCCTATGTCCTGAATGGTATTGCCTAGGTTTTCTTCTAGGGTTTTTAAGGTTCTAGGTCTTACATTTAAGTCTTTAATTCATCTTGAGTTAATTTTTGTGTAAGGTGTAAGGAAGGGATCCAGTTTCAGCTTTCTACATATGGCTAGCCAGTTATCCCAGCACCATTTATTAAATAGCAAATCCTTTCTCCATTGCTTGTTTTTGTTAGGTTTGTCAAAGATCAGATGGTTGTAGATGTGTGATGTTATTTCTGAGGCCTCTGTTCTGTTTCATTGGTCTATATCTCTGTTTTGGTACCAGTATCATGCTGTTTTGGTGACTGTAATCTTGCAGTATAGTTTGAAGTCTGGTAGTGTAATGCCTCCAGCTTTGTTCTTTTTGCTTAGGATTGTCTTGGCTATGCGGGCTCCTTTCTGGTTTCATATGAAATTTAAAGTAGTTTTTTCTGGTTTTCTGAAGAAAGTCATTGGTAGCTTGATGGGGATAGCATTGAATCTATAAATTACCTTGGGCAGTATGGCCATTTTCACGATATTGATTCTTCCTACCCATGAGCATGGAATGTTCTTCCATTTGCTTCTGTCCTCTTTTATTTCATTGAGCAGTGATTTGTAGTTCTCCTTAAAGAGGTCCTTCACATCCCTTGTAAGTTGGATTCCTAGGTATTTTATTCTCTTAGGAGCAATTAGGAATGAGAGTTCACTCATCGTGTGGCTGTCCGTTTGTCTGTTCTTGGTGTATAGGAATGATTGTGATTTTTGCACATTGATCTTGTATCATGAGATTTTGCTGAAGTTGCTTATCAGCTTAAGGAGATTTTGGGCTGAGATGATGGGGTTTTCTAAATATACAATCATGTCACCTGCAAACAGAGACAATTTGACTTCCTCTTTTCCTGTTTGAATATGCTTTATTGCTTTCTCTTGCCTCATTGCCCTGGCCAATGCTACGTTGAACAGCAGTGGTGAGAGACGGCATCCCTGTCTTGTGCCAGTTTTCAAAGGGAATGCTTCCAATTTTTGCCTATTTAGTATGATATTGGCTGTGGGTTTGCTCTAAGTAGTTGTTATTATTTTGAGATATGTTCCATCAATACCTAGTTCATTGAGAGTATTTAGCATGAAAAGCTGTGAATTTTGTCGAAGACCTTTTCTGCATCTAATGAGATAATCATATGATTTTTTCGTTGGTTCTGTTTATGTGACAGATTACATTTATTGATTTGCATATGTTGAACCAGCCTTGCATCCTAGGGATGAAGCCGACTCGTTTGTGTTGGATGAGGTTTTTGATGTGCTTCTGGATACAGTTTGACAGTATTTTATTGAGGATTTTTACATCAATCTTCATGTGCATATTGGCCTAAAATTCTCTTTTTTTTATGTGTCTCTGCCAGGATTTGGTACCAGGATGATGCTGGCCTAATACAATGAGTTAGGGAGGACTCCTGTTTCTATTGAAGCTTCTATTGAAGCTGGAAACCATCATTCTAAGCAAACTATTGCAAGGACAAAAAACCAAACACCGCATGTTCTCACTCATAGGTGGGAATTGAACAATGAGAACACATGGACACAGGAAGGGGAACATCACACACTGGGGCCTGTTGTGGGGTGGGGGGAGGGGGGAGGGATAGCATTAGGAGATATACCTAATGTTAAATGACGAGTTAATGGATGCAGCACACCAACATGGCACATGTATACATATGTAACTAACCTGCACGTTGTGCACATGTACCCTAAAACTGAAAGTATAAAAAAAAAAAGGAAATAGCTTCAGAAGAAATGGTACCAGTTCCTCTGTGTACCTCTGGTACAATTAAGCTGTGAATCTGTCTGCTCCTGGACTTTTTTTGGTTGGTAAGCTATTAATTATTGCCTCAATTTCAGAACCTGTTATTGGTCTATTCAGAGATTCAACTTCTTCCTGGTTTAGTCTTGGGAGGGTGTATGTGTCCAGGAGTCTATCCATTTCTTCTAGATTTTCTAATTTATTTGCGTAGAGTTGTTTATAGTATTCTCTGATGGTAGTTTGTATTTCTCTGAGATCGGTGGTGATATCCCCTTTATCATTCTTTATTGAGTCTATTTGATTCTTCTCTCTTTTCTTCTTTATTAATCTGGGTAGTGGTCTATTTACTTTGTTGATCTTTCGAAAAAAACAGTTTCTGGATTCATTGATTTTTTGAAGGGTTTTTTGTTTCTCTATGTCCTTCAGTTCTTCTCTGGTCTTAGTTATTTCTTGTTTTCTCCTAGCTTTTGAAGTGTTTGTTCTTGCTTCTCTAGTTCTTGAAATTGTGACATTAGGGTGTTGATTTTAGATCTTTCCTGCTTTCTCTTGTGGCCATTTAGTGCTATAGATTTCCCTCTACACACTGCTTTAAATGTATCCCAGGGATTCTTGTACGTTGTATGTTTGTTCTCATTGGTTTCAAAGAACATCTTTATTTCTGCGTTCATTTTGTTACTTACTCAGTAGTCATTCAGGAGGAGGTTATTCAGTTTCCATGTAGTTGTACGGTTTTCAGTGAGTTTCTTAATTCTGAGTTCTAATTTGATTGCTCTGTAGCCTGAGAGACAGTTTTTGTTATTTCTGATCTTTTACATTTTCTGAGGAGTGTTTTACTTCCATTTGTGTGGTCAGCTTTAGAATAAGTTCAATGTGGTGCCGAGAAGAATGTATATTCTGTTGATTTGGGGTGGATAGCTCTGTAGATGTCTATTAGGCCTGCTTGGTCCAGAGCTGAGTTCAATTCCTGGATATCTTTGTTAATTTTCTGTCTCATTGATCTGTCTAATATGGACAGTGGGGTGTTAAAGTCTCCCATTATTATTGTGTGGGAGTCTAAGTCTCTTCGTGGGTCTCTAAGAACTAGCTCTGTTAATCTGGGTGCTTCTGTATTGAGTGCATATATATTTAGGATAGTTATCTCTTCTTGTTGAATTGATCCCTTTATCATTATGTATTGCCCTTCTTTGTCTTTTTTTAATCTTTGTTGGTTTAAAGTCTGTTTTATCAGAGACCAGGATTGAAACTCTTGTTATTTTTTTTTTTTTTTTTTTTTTTGCTTTCCAATTGTTTGGTAGACCTGCTTCTATCCCTTTATTTTGAG
Source organism: Homo sapiens (assembly GCF_000001405.40). Lineage (NCBI taxonomy): Eukaryota > Metazoa > Chordata > Mammalia > Primates > Hominidae > Homo > Homo sapiens. The sequence goes on from NC_000023.11 coordinate 76,778,965, forward strand.
CCTATGTGTGTCTTTGCATGTGAGATGGGTCTCCTGGATACAGTACACCGATGGGTCTTGGCTCATTATCCAATTTGCCACTCTGTGTCTTTTAATTGGGGCATTTAGCCCATTTACATTTAAGGTTAATATTGTTATGTGTGAATTTGATTCTGTCATTATGTTGCTAGCTGGTTATTTCACCCACTAATTGATGCAGTTTCTTCATAGCATGGATGGTCTTTACAATTTGGCATGTTTTTGCCGTGGCTGGTACTGGTTGTTCCTTTCCATGTTTAGTGCTTCCTTCAGGAATTCTTGTAAGACAGGCCTATTGGTGACAAAATCTCTCAGCATTTGCTTGTCTGTAAAGAATTTTATTTCTCCTTCACTTATGAAGCTTAGTTTGGCTGAATATGAAATTCTGGGTTGAAAATTCTTTTCTTTAGGAATGTTGAATATTGGCCCCTACTCTCTTCTGGCTTGTAGGGTTTCTGCTGAGACATCTGCTATTAGTCTGATGGGCTTCCCTTTGTGGGTAGCCAGACCTTTCCCTCTGGCTGTTCTTAACATTTTATCCTTCATTCCAACCTTGGTGAATCTGACAAATATGTGTCTTGGGTTGATAATCTCGAGGAGTATCTTTGTGGTGTTCTCTGTATTTCCTCTGAATTTCAATGTTGGCCTGCCTTGCTAGGTTGGGGAATTTCTCCTATATAATATCCTGCAGAGTGTTTTCCAACTTGGTTCCATTCTCCCTGTCACTTTCAGGTGCACCAATCAAACATAGATTTGGTCTTTTCATATAGTTCCATATTTCTTGGAGGCTTTGTTTGTTTCTTTTCACTCTTTTTCCTCTAATCTTGTCTTCTCACTTTATTTCATTAATTTGATCTTCAATCACTGATATCCTTTCTTCTGCTTGATCAAGTCAGCTATTGAAGCTTGTGTATGATTCATGAATTTCTTGTACTGTGGTTTTCAGCTCTATCGGGTCATTTAAGGTCTTCTCTATACAGTTATTCTAGTTAGCCATTCGTCTAACCTTTCTTCAAGGTTTTTAGCTTCCTTGCTATGGGTTAGAACATGCTCCTTTAGCTTGGAGAAGTTTGTTATCACCAACCTTCTGAAGTCTACCTCTGTCAACCTGTCAAACTCATTCTCCATCCAGTTTTGTTCCCTTGCTGGTGAGGAGTTGTGTTCCTTTGGAGGGGAAGAGGCATTCTTGTTTCTGGAATTTTCAGCCTTTCTGCTCTGGTTTCTCCCCATCTTTGTGATTTTATCTATCTTTGGTCTTTGATGTTGGTGACCTATAGATGGGGTTTTGGTGCGGATGTCATTTTTGTTGATGTTAACACTATCCCTTTCTGTTTGTTAGGTTTTCTTCTAACATACCGGCTCCTCAGCTGCAGGTCTGTTGGAGTTTGCCAGAGGTCCACTCCAGACCGTTTGCCTGGGTATCACCAGCGCAGGCTGCAGAATAGCAAATATTTCTGCCTGACCCTTCCTCTGGAAGCTTCATCTCAGAGGGGCACTCGCCTTTATGAGGTGTCAGTCAGCCCCTACTGGGAGGTGTCTCCCAGTCAGACTATACGTGGGTCAGGGACCCACTTGAGGAGGCAGTCTGTCCCTTATTGGATCTCAAACACTCTTCTGGGAGAACCACTGCTCTCTTCAGAGCTGTCAGGCAGGGACGTTTAAGTCTGCAGAAGCTGTCTGCTGTCTTTTGTTCAGATATGCCCTGCCCCCAGAGGTGGAATCTAGGGAGGCAGTAGGCCTTGCTGAGCTGTGGTGGTCTCTGCCCAGTTCTAGTTTCCCTGCCACTTTGTTTACACTGTAAGCATAGAACTGCCTACTCAAGCTTCATCAATGATAGATGTCCCTTCCCTCACCAAGCTTCAGCATTCCAGGTCAATCTCAGACTACTGCACTAGCAGCAAGCAAGGCTCCATGGGTGTGGGACCCACAGAGCCAGGCACAGGAGAGACTCTCCTGGTCTGCTGGTTGTGAAGACTGTGGGAAAAGACCAGCATTTGGGCAGCAGTGTACTGATCCTCCAGGTACAGTCACTCACAGCTTACCTTGACTAAAAAAGGGAAATCTCCCCACCCCTTGCACATCCCAGGTGGGGTGACACCCCACCCTGCTTCTGCTCACCCTCTATGGGCTGCACCCACTGTCCAACCAGTCTCAATGAAATGAAGTAGGTACCTCAGTTGGAAATGCAGAAATCACCCACCTTCTGCATCGATCTCACTGGGAGTTGTAGACTGGAGCTGTTCCTATTCAGCCGTCTTGGAAGCAACCTGTTTGGGAATTCTTAATTCCAAAAAGCAGGATCAGCAGAAGCTAGGGAGGATGGTACATATAAAATAAGATGCTTGACATAAGGAGATCCCCAAAAGAGTATGAACCAACACAAATGCCAGAACATCAAAAAGGCAAGAGAACCCAATAGATAAAGTCACCTACTTCAACACTTTTGTTATAACACTGCAGGTCAAGTATCTTTTTAAAGGTCAAAGTAGAGTCACATTCAACTTACAGTTTTAGATATCACTCATTTTTTTTCACTAGCTCCTCTTTTTTGCAGCCTTGTGTAGACTCTAAGCATCCATAGATTTCATTTGTACTGCAGAGAGACTAAACATACTAACAAAACATGACCAGACCATATATAAAGTTAGAACTCTGATTCACAACCTGCAGCAACGTGCCTAGGAAACCAGTCCATTTTCTACAGTGACCAACACAGGAAGCCAACTATCTATGTCAAACTTGTAGAAAGTCTGGCTACCATTTCTCCTAAGTGGCCCAGAAAGCCAAATAATAACCCCTGGAATAATTGTTCCCAAATGGCCTGGGAATGATTGATAACTTATAGCCTCCCTAATCTTGGAGAAGTTTTAAATTTAGGGCCTGCTTTCAACTTAAGACCAAAAAGAGAAAGTCAAATATGCATCTCTAGCCAATCACCTACGATGCTCCACTTCCAGTTAACCTGCCTACAGCTTCTCCATGCCAACAGCCTCTAACAAGGACATATTTGAAGCCTTCCATTTTTTCACTATAAAACTTTTACACTTCTCTGCCTGCCTTTGAGTGTCTGCCAAAATGCAAGTGATGATAGTTGACTCCCTTTCTATAGCAAATTCTGAATAAATAGACTTTTCTTGTTCTCATGCCATTGGTCTTTACTTATTTCCACACTGCTCTACAGGTCTTGACTCCAACAGCCAGAGTGATCTTCTCAAAGCGTAAACATAATCACATCACTTTCATTATCCCATACCTACTTAAAATACACAAATGGCTTCCCATGACATTTTTTGTTTGTTTGTTTCTTTTGAGATGGAGTCTGGTTCTGTCACCCAGGCTGAAGTGCAGTGGCACAATCTTGGCTCACTGCAACCTCTGCATCCTGGGTTCAAGTGATTCTCCTGCCTCAGCCTCCCGAGTCACTGGAACTACAGAGTGCACCACCACACCCGGCTAATTTTTGGATTTTTAGTAGTGATGGGGATTCGCCATGTTGGCTAGGCTGGTCTCAAACTCTTGAACTCAAGCGATCTGCCCACCTTGACCTCTCAAAGTGGTGGGATTACAGGTGTGAGCCACCGCACCCAACCCTGTGACATTTTTAATAAACTTTATTTTTAGAACAGTTTGATTTACAAAAAAAGTGAAGATAACACAGAGTTTCCATATGTTCAGCACCTATTTTCTCCCAATATGAACTTCTTATAGTAGCAAAAGAATGCCTTATTTTATTTCATTTACTTTATTGTCCTTTTCAGATATTTTGTTTTTTAAAATTGAAGATTTGTGGCAACCTTGTATCAAGCAAGTCTTCCAGCACAATTTTTCCAAGAGCATGTGATCACATCATATCTTCATGTCACATTTTGGTAATTCTCACAACATTTTAAACATTTTCACTAATATATCTGCTATGGTGATTTGTGATTAGTGATATTTGATGTTACTATTGTAATTGCTTGGGGGTGCCACAAACCACAGGGGATTGTGAGCTTAATGAATGTTGTGTGTGTTCTGACTGCTCCACCAAGAAGCTGTTTCCCATTTTTCTCCTTGTCCTAAGAACCCCATATTCCTGGAGACCTTGAGACACAATATTTAAATTAGGCCAAGTAATAACCTTACAATGGTCTCCAAGAGTTCCAGTGAAAGGAAGAGTCACACAACTTGTATTTAAAATCAAAAGCTAAAAAGGATTAAGCTTACTGAGGAAGGCATGTTGAAACTCAAGATAGGTTGAAAGCTAGGCCTCTTGAACCAAATAATTAACAAAGTTGAAAATGCAGAAGAGGGAGTTCACTCATGATTTGGCTCTCTGTTTTTCTGTTATTGGTGTATAAGAATGCTTGTGATTTTTGCACATTGATTTTGTATCCTGAGACTTTGCTGAAGTTGCTTATCAGCTTAAGGAGATTTTGGGCTGAGAGAATGGGGTTTTCTAGATATACAATCATGTCATCTGCAAACAGGGACAATTTGACTTCCTCTTTTCCTAATTGAATACCCTTTATTTCCTTCTCCTGCCTAATTGCCCTGGCCAGAACTTCCAACATTATGTTGAATAGGAGTGGTGAGAGAGGGCATCCCTGTCTTGTGCCAGTATTCAAAGGGAATGCTTCCAGTTTTTGCGCATTCAGTATGATATTGGCTGTGGGTTTGTCATAGACAGCTCTTATTAGTTTGAGATACATCCCATCAATACCTAATTTATTGAGAGTTTTTAGCATGAAGCGTTGTTGAATTTTGTCAAAGGCCTTTTCTACATCTATTGAGATAATCATGTGGTTTTTGTATTTGGTTCTGTTTATATGCTGGATTATATTTACTGATTTGCATATATTGAACCAGCACTGCATCCCAGGGATGAAGCCCACTTGATCATGGTGGATAAGCTTTTTGATGTGCTTCTGGATTCGGTTTGCCAGTATTTTATTGAGTATTTTTGCATCAATGTTCATCAAGGATATTGGTCTAAAATTTTCTTTTTTGGTTGTGTCTCTGCCCAGCTTTGGTATCAGGATGATGCTGGCCTTATAAAATGAGTTAGGGAGGATTCCCTCTTTTTCTATTGATTGGAATAGTTTCAGAAGGAATGGAACCAGTTCCAAAATCCCATTCACAATTGCTTCAAAGAGAATAAAATACCTAGGAATCCAACTTACAAGGCACATGAAGGACCTCATCAAGGAGAACTACAAACCACTGCTCAATGAAATAAAAGAGGATACAAAGAAACGGAAGAACATTCCATGCTCATGGGTAGGAAGAATCAATATTGTGAAAATGGCCATACTGCCCAAGGTAATTTATAGATTCAATGCCATCCCAATCAAGCTAGCAATGACTTTCTTCACAGAATTGGAAAAAAGTACTTTAAAGTTGATATGGAACCAAAAAAGAGCCCACATCACCAAGTCAATCCTAAGCCAAAAGAACAAAGATGGAGGCATCACGCTACCTGACTTCAAACTATACTACAAGGCTACAGAATTTAGTACCAAAACAGCATGGTACTGCTACTAAAACAGAGACATAGATCAATGGAACTGAACAGAGCCCTCAGAAATAATGCCACATATCTACAACTATCTGATCTTTGACAAATCTGAGAAAAACAAGCAATGGGGAAAGGATTTCCTATTTAATAAATGGTGCTGGGAAAACTGGCTAGCCAGATGTAGAAAGCTGAAACTGGATCCCTTCCTTACACCTTATACAAAAATTAATTCAAGATGGATTAAAGACTTAAACGTTAGACCTAAAACCATAAAAACCCTAGAAGAAAACCTAGGCATTACCATTCAGGACATAGACATGGGCAAGGACTTCATGTCTAAACCACCAAAAGCAATGGCAACAGAAGCCAAAATTGACAAATGGGACCTAATTAAACTAAAGAGCTTCTGCACAGGAAAAGAAACTACCATCAGAGTGAACAGGTAACCTACAAAATGGGACAAAATTTTTGCAACCTACACATCTGACAAAGGGCTAATATCCAGAATCTACAATGAACTCAAACAAATTTACAAGAAAAAATCAAACAACCCCCTCAAAAAGTGGGTGAAGGACATGAACAGACACTTCTCAAAAGAAGACATTTATGCAGCCAAAAAACACATGAAAAAATGCTCACCATCACTGGTCATCAGAGAAATGCAAATCAAACCCACCACGAGATACCATCTCACACCAGTTAGAATGGCAATCATTAAAAAGTCAGGAAACAACAGGTGCTGGAGAGAATGTGGAGAAGTAGGAACACTTTTACACTGTTGGTGGGACTGTAAACTTGTTCAACCATTGTGGAAGTCAGTGTGGCGATTCCTCAGGGATCTAGAACTAGAAATTCCATTTGACCCAGCCATCCCATTACTGGGTATATACCCAAAGGACTATAAATCATGCTGCTATGAAGACACATGCACACGTATGTTTATTGCAGCACTATTCACAATAGAAAAGACTTGGAACCAACCCAAATGTCCAATAATGATAGACTGGATTAAGAAAATGTGGCACATATACACCATGGAATACTATGCTGCCATAAAAAATGATGAGTTCATGTCCTTTGTAGGTACATGGATGAAATTGGAAATCATCATTCTCAGTAAACTATCACAAGGACAAAAAACCAAACACCACATATTCTCACTCATAGGTGGGAATTGAACAAAGAGAACACATGGACACAGGAAGGGAAACATCATACTCTGGGGACTGTTGTGGGGTGGGGAGAGGGGGGAGGAATAGCATGAGGAGATATAACTAATGCTAAATGACGAGTTGATGGGTGCAGCACAACAGCATGGCACATGTATACATGTGTAACTAACCTGCACATTGTGCACCTGTAACCTAAAACTTAAAGTATAATAATAATAAAATTAAATTAAAATTAAAATTAAAAAAAGAAAAAAAAATGCAGAAGAAATGTTCTTGAAGGAAATTTAAAGTGCTACTTCGGTGAACAGATTAATGAATAGAAATTAAATAGTTTTATTGCTGATATCAAGAGAGCTTTCGTTGTCTGGATAGAAGATCAAATCAATCGTGACATTCCCTTAAACAAAAGCCCAACACAGAGAAAGACCCTAGCTCTCTTCAAATCTGTGAAAGCTTAGAGACGTGAGGATGCTACGGAAGAAAACTTTAAAGCCAGCAGGCATTGGTTCATGAGATTTAAGGGAAGGAGCCATTTTTATAACATAAAAGGCCAAGGTAGAGCAGCAAGTATCAATGTAAATGAAACAGCCTTCTATTGGAGGAAGATGCCATCTTGGACTTCTGTAGCTATAGAAATGTCAATGCTTGGCTTCAAAGTTTCAAATAATGGGCTGACTCTTATTATGGATTATTCAGATGGTGACTTTAGGTTAAAACCAATGCTAATTCACCACTCAAAAAATCATAGGGCCCTGAAGAATTATGCTAAATCTATTCTACCTGTGCTTCTTAAATGCAACAACAAGGCCTGGATGACAGCAAACTGTTTACAGCATGGTTTACTAAATATTATAAGCCCACTGTTGAGACCTGTTGCTCAGAAAAGAAATATTCATTTAAAAACATTACTGATCATTGACAATGTTGTTTTTATGCCTACTAGCATGTCATCTATTCTTCAGCCCATGAATCAGGAGCAATTTTTATTTTCAAGTCTTCTTATATAAGAAATACATTTCATAAGGCAATAGATGCCATAGATAATGATTTTTTTTTCTGGCGAATCTGGCGAATTTAATTTAAAGTAAATTAAAAACCTTCTGAAAAATTTGAAGATTATAGATGCTATTAAGAACATTCGTGATGCATGGGAGGAAGTAAAAATATCAATATTAACAGGACTTTGGAAGAAGTTGATTCTAACATTCATGGTTGACTTTGAGAGCTTTAAATTTTTAGTGGAATAAATAACTGCAGATGTGGTAGAAATAGCAAGAGAAGTCAAATCAGAAATAGAATCTGAACATTCAAATACGAAAAGAAGTCAAACTATCTCTCCTCACTGACTATATAATTCTGTACTTAGAAAACCTGAAAGACTCTTTCAGAAGGCTGCTATAACTCATAAGTGATTTTAGCAAGGTTTCAGGATACAAAATCAATCAACAGGAATGAGTAGTATTTTTATACACCAATAATACCCAGGCTGAGAGTCAAATGAAGAATACAATCCCATTTACAATAGCCATAAAGAAAATGAAATACCTAGGAATACAGCCACCCAAGGAGATGGGAATTCTCTACAAAAAGAACTATGAAACACTGCTGAAAGAAATCACAGACAACACAAATAAGTGGAAAAACATTCCATGCTCATGGATTGGAAAAATAAATATTAAAATGGCCATACTGCCCAAAGTAATTTACAGATTGAATGCTATTTCTATTAAACTACCATGTCATTCCTCACAGGATTAGAAATAAATCTACTCTAAAATTCATATGGAACCAAAAAATACCCCAAATAGTCAAAGCAATCATAAGAAATAAAAAAGCTGTAGGCATCACACTACCTGACTTAAACTATACAGTAATGCTAGAGTAATCAAAACAGCATGGTACTCCTCAAAAACAAACACATAAACCAATGTAACAGAATAGAAAACTCCAAAATAAAGCCACGTATGTACTATCATCTGATCTTTGACAAGGCTGACAAAAGCAAGCAATGGGGAAAGGGTCTATTCGATAGATTGTGCTGAGATAACTGGCTAGCCATAGGCAGAAGAATGAAGCTAAAGCCTTATCTTTCACCATATAGAAAAATTAACTCAAGATGAATTAGAAATTTAAATGTAAGACCTCAAACTATAAAAATCCCAGAAGTCAACCTAGGGAATTCCCTTCTTGACATGAACCTTGACAAAGAATATGTGGCTAAGGCCCCAGAAACAATTGCAACAGAAACAAATATTGACAAGTGGATCCTAATTAAACTAAAGACCTTCTGCACAGCAAAAGAAACGATCAACAGAGTAAACAGAAAACCAGCGGAATGAGAGAAAATATTCTCAAAGTATGCATCCAACAATGGTCTAATATGAAGAATCTATGCAAAACTTAAACAAATCAACAAGCAAAAAGCAAAAGCTCCATTAAAAATTGGCAAAGGATATGAATAGACACTTCTCAAAAGAAGGTATACATGCGACCAACAAGCATATGAAAAAAAAATGGTCAGCAGCACTAACTATAAGAGAAATTCAAATAAAAACCACAAGGAGATACCATCTCTCACCAGTCAGAATGGCTGTTACTAAAAAGTCAAAAAACAGATGCTGGTGAGGCTATGGAGTAAAGGAAATGCTTATACCCTTTTGGTGGGAATGTAAATTAGTACAGCTACTCTGGAAGGCAGTTTGGAGATTTTTCAAAAAACTTAAAACAGAACTTCCAACTGATTCAGCAATCCCATTGTTGCATATATATACGTAAAGAAAAAAAAATTACTCTACCATAAAGACACACATATGCATATATTCATAGCAGCCGTGTTCACAACAGCAAAGACATAGAATCAACCTAAATGTCCATTAATGGCAGATTGGGTAAAGAAAATGTGGTTCATATTACCCTAAGTGAATTAATGAAGGAGGATAAAACCAAATACGACATGTTCTCTTTTATAAGTGGTAGATAAACTTTGAGTACACATGGGCACAAAGAAGATAACAATAGACACTAGCTAATTCTTGAAGGTGCAGGGTGGGAAGAGAGTGAGGGTCAAAAAACTGCCTATCAGGTACTATGCTCATTACCTGGGTGATAAAATAATCTTTACACCCAACACCTATGGCACACAATTTACCCATGTAGCAAACATGTGCATGTACTCCCTGAACCTAAAACAAAAGTTGGAATAAAAATTTAAAAAAAGGAAATTTGAATTGAAAAGTTTGAGGATTCCCTCTTGAAGGCCTCTGAAAAATGTGTTTCATAGAACAATATTTGGAAACTACTGTCCTCTTAATAATTGGGATCCTATTTTATGCTTCCTGGCATTTCCATGTTTTCCTCTCCGTTGCCCTCCTGTTTACTCACTGCAGGTATGCTCTCCACAAAGGGAATCTTGCTTTACACCTCATGAACTTTCAGACTTAGCACAAGGCCTGGCACACAGCTCATCCTCAGCCAGTGGTTTGTTTTTGCTGTTGCTGTTGTTTCAACGAAATTAAGTTAAACACCTGTCGATTTGATCTGGTGAGTCCTCAGTACCTGTTCATGAGTTGTTTGGTGAAAAATAAAAAAGATATGCAATATTTATGTCATAGAGTTACAAATAACAGCTAAAACAAAAAAAATTGCAAAAGAGGAAGTCAATTTATTTTGCAGATGACATAATCTTATATGCAAAATAAATAAATAAATAAAAAAGAAACCCTAGAGACTTCACCAAGAAAAACTCTAAGAACTGTCAATGAATTCAGTAAACTTTCAGGAGGACAGTAAATCAACATAAAAAATCAGTAGCACTTCTATAATGCAATAATTAACTAGCTGTAAAAGAAATCAAGAAAGCAATCCCATTTACAATAACTATAAGAAAAAACCCCTAGGAATAAATTTTACTAAGGAGGTGAAAGACCATGCAGAGAAAACTGGTGGAATAAATTGAAAAGGACACAAATAAATAGAAAGACATCCCATGTTCATGAATCAAAAGTATTAATATTGTTAAAATAACCATATTACCCAAAGCAATGTACAGATTCAATGTAATGTTTGTCAAAATGCCAATGACATTCTTCACAGAAATAGAAAAACAATCCTAAAATTTGTGTGGAACTACAAGAGACCCCAAATAGATACAACAAATCTGAGCAAAAAGTATGAAGCTGGAAGCATCACACTATCTGACTTCAAAAATATACAACAAAGCTATAGTAACCAAAACAGCATAGTACTGGCATACCAACAAACACATAGACCAATGGAACAGAATAGAGAACCCAGAAATTAGTCCATACATTTACAGCCAACTGATTTTTGAGAAAGATACCAAGAACATACATTGGGGAAACAACACCCTTTACAATAAATGGTTTTAGGAAAACTGGATATCCATACGCAGAAGAATAAAACTAGGTCCCTATCTCTCACCATATACAAAAATCAATTCAAAATGGATTAAAGATTTAAACATAAGACCAGAAATGTTAAAACTACTATAAGAAAACAATGGGGGAAATTTGCAGGACATTAGTCTGGACAACAATTTTATGGCTAAAACTTCAAAAGCACACATAGTAAAAACAAAAATAAACAAATGGGACTGTATTAGACTTAAAAGCTTCTGCACAGAAAAGGAAACATTCAACAGAGTGAAGAAATAACTTCTTGAATGGGAGAAAATATTGGCAAACTATTCATCTGACAGGGCACTAATAACCAGAAAATACAAGGAACTGAAATAACTCAAAGGCAAAACAATTAGAAAATAAACCCATTAAAGGGCCGAGTGCGGTGGCTCACCGCCTGTAATCCCAGCACTTTGGGAGGCTGAGGCAGGTGGATCAGGAAGTCAGGAGATCGAGACCATCCTGGCTAACACGGTGAAACCCCTTCTCTACTAAAAATACAAAAAAAATTAGCCGGGTGTGGTGGTGGGTGCCTGTAGTCCCAGCTACTCGGGAGGCTGAGGCAGGAGAATGGCATGAACCCGGGAGGTGGAGCTTGCAGTGAGCTGAGATCATGGCACTGCACTCCAGCCTAGGCAACAGAGTGAGACTGCGTCTCAAAAAAAAAAAAAAAAAAAAAAAAGAAAGAAAGAAAAAAAAAAGAAAGAAAATAAGAAAATAAACCCCCATTAAAAAGTGGGCAAATTGGTTGGGCATGGTGGTTTGTGCCTGTGATCCCAGCATTTTGAAAGACTGAGGTGGGCAGATCACTTGAGGCCAGGAGTTCAAGATCAGCCTGGGCAACATGGTGAGTCCCCACATCTACAAAAAATACAAAAATGAGCCAGGTATGATCTCAAATACCTGTAATCTCAGCTACTCTAAGAGGAAGAGGCAGGAGAATCGCTTGAACTTGGGAGGCGGATGTTGCAGTGAGCTGAGATCATGCCACCTCACTCCAGCCTGGGTGACAGAGTGATACTCTGTCTCAAAAAAAAAAATATTTTTTAAAAAGTTGGGCAAAGGATATGAATAGACATTTATTTTTGTTTTGTTGTTGTCGTTGTTTAGAGATGGAGTCTCACTCTGTTGCCCAGGTTGGAGTGCAGTGGCGCAATCTCGGCTCACTGTAACTTCTGCCTGCCGGGTTCAGGAGATGCTCCTGCCTCAGCCTCCTGAGTAGCTGAGACTACAGGTGCCTGCCACCATGTCTGGCTATTTTTTTTTTTTATTTTATTTTTGGTAAAGACAGGGCTTCACCATGTTAGCCAGGATGGTCTCGATCTCCTGACCTCGTGATCCACCCTCCTCGGCCTCCCAAAGTGCTGGGATTACAGGCATGAGCTATCGCACCCGGCCCCTGAATAGACATTTCTACACAGAAAACATACAAATGGACAACAGGCATTTGAAAAAAATGGTCAACTTCACTAGTCATCAGAGAAATGAAAATTAAAACGACAATAAGGTTATCATCTCATTCCATTTAGAGTGGCTATTATCAAAAAGACAATAGCAAGTGCTAGTGAGAATGTGGAATAAAAAGAAGCCATTCTCACTCTTAGTAGGAATTTAAATTATCCTATCCAGTATGAAAAACAGTATGGAGCTTCCTCAACAAACTAAAATTATAACTGCCATATGATCAAGCATTCTACTACTGGGTATTTATTTTAAAGAAAGGAAATCAATATATCAAAGGCATACCATCACTTTCATGTGTATTGCAGCTCTATTCACAATAGCCAAAATATGGACTCAACCTAAGTGTCTCTCAATGAATGAATGGATAAAGAAAATATTGTATATACCCACATTGGAATAAAATAAAAAATGAAATCGCATCATTTGCAGCCACTTGGATGGAACTGGATGTTCTCACTTAAGTGGGAGATTAAAAAGTTTGTCTCATGGAGATAGAGAGTAGAATGAAAGTTACCAGAGTCTGGGAAGCATCAGAGGGGGGAGGGGGGCATGAAGAGATGGTTAATAGGTACAAACACACAGTTAGATAGAAAGAGTAAGTTCTAGTGTTTGACAGCACAGTAGGGTGACTATAGTTAGCAATAATTTATTGTGAATTTCAAAATAGCTAGAAGAAAAAGTTTGGAATATTCCCTAATGCTAGATGACGAGTTAGTGGGTGCAGCGCACCAGCATGGCACATGTATACATATGTAACTAACCTGCACATTGTGCACATGTACCCTAAAACTTAAAGTATAATAATAAAAAAGGAATACTCCCAACACAAAGAAACAATAAATGTTTGAAGCGATGGATATCTTAATTAACTTGATTTGATCATTACACATTGTATGTACGTATCAAAATATCACATTTACCCAATGGATATGTAAAATTATTGTGTATCAATTTAAAAAAATCTAAATGTTAAAATTAAAAGCAATAAAAAGTTTTGCCTCTTACTGATTATCTCCGGGGATGGGAATCTCCTTTTTTGTTGACACTGTCCATCTGAGTATTGGAAATTTCTCATCTATGAGTAAGATATCCAAACTTTGAGTAGGAGAGAGTCAAATACAAAAAAAAAAGCATACACCAGACTAACATTGATTCAGTAGCTAATGGTTTTAAATTTTGTTCAGTATGAATCCTTCTAATTAATATTACCAGAGCTAAATTTATCCATTTAATCTACAAAGATAATAATGTTTTTATAGGGAACAGTAGGACTTTTTAAAATATTCTATCACTCTCTAATATAAGCTTGTTCTGCCAGCTAGGGCAAATTGGTTTATCCCTACTCCAACTTGAAATTAATCTTTTGTTAGAATATTTAAATGTATTTATTTTTTAATTTTAATTGACAGTTAAACTGCCCCCTAGCCCTTTCAAGCCTCTGGTAACTTTCACTGTACTCTCTACCTCCATGAGACAAACTTTTTAAGCTCCAACATAAGTGAGAATATCCAGATTCATCCATGTGGCTGAAAATGATACAATTTCATTTTTTGTGTTTACTATGAACAGCATGATGTTTTAAAACATATATAAATTGTGGCATTGTTAAATCTAGCTAATTAACACATGAGTTACCTCACATAGTTATCACTTTGTGATGAGAATATTTCTCCACTGTTAGCATATTTCAATACAATCTAGCATCATTAACTATAGTTACTGTGCTGTATAGTATATCTTTTGAATTTATTCCTCCTATTTACTGTAATTTTTTATCTTTTTACCAACATCTCCCCAACCTCCCAAAACCACCCAACCTCTCTCCAAATCAGTTATTTTCATGTCAGTGCACTGAACCATCCTCCCTTTAAAAAAAAAAAAAAAAAAGTATTTTTTAAATTAAATCAACCCCTGCCCCACTCCAACCTTTGCACTAGCCAAATTATATGGTTTACCCTACGTCAGACCCAGCTGTTCTAGTCTTAGCATTTACTCCATACCCTGGATACTGCAGTGAACAAGGCATAGGATAAGGCGCCTCCTTTTCAAGATAATTAAGGACTGAAGTATACAAAAATCTTTGAGAATCTGGAAGAAAGAGAGAAGACTACAGACTGAAGTAACAAGATGGCCCTGGAAAAATTTAGAAGTTGAAAATATCAGGATAAACCACTTTAGTTAGAAGGAACAGCTAGAACTATGGCATGGATATTTTTGGAAACAGGAAAGGATGTATGTGAGGAACTGCACCATTAGTCTTCTATGACCAGAACAAAAACTTATGAAAAGAGCAGTGAAAGGTGAAGCTAGAGACGTGTGCAAGGACCAAATAATGGAGGGCCTTGTATACCACTCCAAGGAGTTGAGACTTTTCTTTGTAGATAATAGGGAGCCATTGAAAAAATGTAGCACAATGACGTGATCAGTTTAATTATTTAGCAAAGAGTAAGAAAACTAAAAATAATTCTTTAGAACTGTCATTTGACATGGTAGAAAAAGTAGTTTTGTCAGGGACCCTCATGGTTGCTACCACATTTTCAATATCTACTGACATCTTATAAAATGAGTATGGCAATTCAGGGAAGAATCAATAAGAATAAGAATAAGCATAAGAATAATAAACTTACTGAAAACTTGTCATGTGCCAGACATAAATCTATCAGGTATATTGCTATTATTCCCATTTATAGATAATAAAACCGGGTTTCTTAGAGTTTAAAAAGTTTGCCCAGGGTCAGCTAAGTAGTAGAGCTTGGATTTGAACTTACACAGCTTGACACCAAATCTTATGTGCTTAAGCACTTTACTACTTGATCCTTGATATTGGGTATCTACTAAATAAGAGCATTATAACTGAGAGGCCTTCTAAAGCAATTTGCTCAACTCTCTTACTGTGAAATGATGAAACTGAGGATCAGGATATCATGATGTCAGAGAGTTTATTAGTAAAAGTGTCTGGGTAGAACATAGGCCTCCTGATTCCCAATTCAGTGTTTATTTTATTGTACTTTGCTACTCTTCCAGCA
This sequence comes from Homo sapiens, assembly GCF_000001405.40. NCBI lineage: Eukaryota > Metazoa > Chordata > Mammalia > Primates > Hominidae > Homo > Homo sapiens. The sequence goes on from NC_000023.11 coordinate 76,794,560, forward strand.
AAAGTGAAGTCTGCCTCTCTCAATATTAGAACTGGAGTTTTTCAGGAAAGCCTATTGAAATGCAAAATCCCTAAAATCCAAATGACATAGCAAGTCGAAAATTTCACACTTAGGGCACCCTTTTCTGTGTGTGTTTTATGTATTGCTGGAACAGGCTACAGAGATGCAGGTGAAAGACCCAAAGTTTGGTAATAAAAGAATATCTCCAGACAGAGATTTCCCATCATCAATCCCAGCTGAATATCCTTCTTTCTTATCCCCTGAGAATAAGGCTGTTCCAAACATATGATTTTCATTCTCTGCAAAGTCCGAAGCAGCTGCTTGTTTGCTGTGGATTATGACTCCAGGTGTTAAGCTCAATCAATTTCAAAGGCCATAAATTTTTTAGGCCAGAATTCATGGAACAGTGTTTATTCCAGTTCAATCTTCTGTGTGACCATTGCAAAACACAACCTTTTTTTTTTGGGATAAATAGAAGACCAGGAATTATCTTACTTCTTTCATCTCCTCCTGCTAAAGCATAGGTGAGTAGTTATCTATCTTTCTTCTACAGCTGTCACTCTCTTGACTATTCAAGATTTGAAGGTAAATGGAGCCATCTCATAAAAGCCTTAGAAGAGAGAAAACTTTATCTCAAGAGTTTCTCACTGTGGTGATCCTTTTTAAACATTGATAAACACTGAATAATAGGCTGCTTGTGAAAAATTGAAATACTTTGGCTTCATCCTAAATATTCTGATTTAGTCAATCAGGGAATGGAGTCAGAAATCATTGTTCATAAGTATCATCTGTGATTCTATTATGCATCCAAGTTTAAAAACTACTGGTCTATGGTTTGCATGTTGAGGAGTATGCTGCAGAAATTCTGAAGGTATTGTGATTAGAGTTATGATAGACATTGATGCATATATGTTGGATTTGGGAATGTCTTCTCTAAATTCACTGTTAAATATCTCAGCTGCTTTCACTTGACTTGATCTGCACTGGATTGCCCCTCATTGGCTCAGCCAGGACAATCAGTTGGGCTCAGCATGGGTAGGTGCAAGCAGTAGGTTGCCAATATCTCTAACGTGCCACTTATTTCCATCTGTACCAGGGATATATAAAGATTGATTCAGCATTGAAGAAAACTTGCTGACCCCGTTTTATACCTAAAGTAATCAAATCTTGCAGGAGGAAGATGAGAGAAGTCTGAAATATTGAGTTTTACCTGTTTCCTCTAAGGCTGTTATGCAGATAGATGCAAATATATGTGTAGACATGATAGAATAATACTTTCCATTAATTCACAGTGAAGCCGAAAAGCCTCCAAGCTGGATTGTTTCTCATACTTTAATGTGCATATATATCATCGGGGGATCTAAGTCCCCATGCCAGATCTGCTAAAAGATAATCTGCAATTTAACTAAGATATCCAGGTCTGAACCAGTGGTTCTTAAAGTGTGGTCCCAAGAACAGCATTAGCATCACCTGAGTACATGTCAAAAACTCACTTTCTTGGGGTCCCACCTCAGAACTTATGAATGAAAAACTCTGGAGATGAAGCCCAGAAATCCGTGTTTTAAGAATCCATCCAGGGGATTCTGATGCCTACTCAAATGTGAGAACTGCTCTATGCCATTCCTCGCCTTCAGACAAGATTGGCTTCCACTCAGCCATAGAAGACTGCAGTAGGAGATGGGCAGGGTTTCAGAGATTCCAGTATTCATTCAAGAAAGCTCTCCCTCTTTTTTTACTGAAAACCTTTATGCTGCTTTCTCTGCACCCAGAGCCCTCATTCTCATTGGCAACCCTTTTCAAATCTTCTTTGCTACAGGAAAACCTTCACAGAGATTTGGCAAGGACTTCTTAAAATCCCCTATAGAGTGCCTATTTTCTGAGACTCAGTGTCTTAGTCATAATCATCTGTAAGGAATGTAGCTGTGGTGCAGCCAGGCAGGCATAGGCTGAAGTAAACATCTTGCATGACTCAGCAGGATCGGAGCACAGGTGCACAATTCCATGCATTATATAATCAACAGCTATGTAGCCATAACATGGGAGGCTCATCATCTGGCTCTAAGCCACTATTGTTTGTGAAGCGTATAAATGCAATACTGACATTGAAAGAGCTGCTGAATAAAGCCATGTCTCATCTACCTGCTGTCTCTCAAGTGTTCTTCCAGCTAGCTGCCCCCCACCACCCACTCCCCTCAGACCTCAGCTGGGGACTGACCCTGACATTAGGTGTAGTCGTCAGGATGAGATGAGTGGGTTTTCAGCCCCTGAGACTCCCAGGTCAGCTACGTGGCTGCAGCATGGGCTGTGGTACCTGGTGGCAGAGGTACTGCTTGGATGGGCCCCAATGGGAACATGGGAGGCAATGGAAGGGTCTCCCATGAGTGTGGGAAAGGCACTGAAGCAGCTGGAAGCACACAGCACCAAGAAGAAATGCACCTCTGCTGGCAGAGTCAAGTGGGCATTTATGACTGCACTGCAGGAAGTACATGCTCAGTTCCTGTGGGACACTGCACAGGTAAGGGACCTCCAGGCACAAGCTGCATGCCTGGGCACCTAAATGCACAGCTTGGAGCAAAACTTGGGGGTGAAGGACCTCCAGGCACAAATAGGGCACTTATAGGCCCAGATAAACAGCCTGGAACAGGAGTTAGAAACAGCTGTCAGTGTAACCTTGAGCCTGTCCTCCTGACCAGACACTCCCATTTGGTCTGATGCCAAGGAGGAGGAGGCTCCTCTGCTGAGATCTCACCCCACAATCTGTCAGAAGGTAGAACATGAGCAGCCAATGGGACTCCAGGAGAGAGCCCAGGGAGCCCCCCACCCCACCATGGTGGAACACACTTCCCGTAGTGTTTATACCCCCACGGAGTTGCCAGAGTTAGTCAAGCAGTACTGGCATCATGTGAGGGAGCCCTTTCCTGCCTGGTTACTTTGCCTTTGGGCTGAAGGAGCTGATAGCATTTTCTGCTCCACCTCCGAGATAGAGAAGCTGGCTTCTATCACAACTCACCTCTTCCTTCATTAGCAGCTGCAGCTATGCCAACAGTTAGCACAGAGGCAAGGTGACCACACTTTCATTGAGTGGCTGATGGTAGCCATATGGACGTGTGGAATGATGCTGGAGAAATACCAGAATCTGTGAGTAAATAGAAATCATATACTGAGTTGGTGCAGATATTCCAGTAGATGGATATGCAGCAGGCCATGTTTGATTTGAATACCCAGGGGCCAGATGATGAACGCTTTACCTCCCATATGAGGGATCTTGTGTTGGGCTCAGTGGCTCCCACTCAACGCGTTTGGCTTTCTGGCCACTGTCCCCAACCCGTATGTGGGGAGCCACAGACATGAAGTGACTACTTCTATGGCAGTCCTCAGGGAGACAGAAAGCCATTGGTGGGACCAGGGAATCTGCACCATAAAGAAGGGGAAGCTGCCCCCTCCTCAGGTAACCATCCCATGAGATAAAAGAGGGTCCCAGCAGGTAACTTCCATGCAGATGTGGTTTGATTTAATTGCAGCTGGGGTTCCATGAAATAAAATTGACAAGCAATGCAACAGAATGCTGTTGGCTCCGTGGAAGCAATTATCCCCGGAGCAACAATTCCAGAAAATGCTCAAGAGGGGGCAAAACAATGTTGTTCAACCTCATCCTGCCCAGATGCTTCAGCTCAAGGACTATTTGCAGATGGGCAGCAATATGGGGCCTTTCCTGTTTAATTAGGGAACTGGCTGAGGTGCCCGTCTTTGAAGGATGCCAGCCAACCAGAGGTCACATGTGAAACTGGTGATCCACTGGTAACCCACTAATATATAGCAGGGTCCTTGTACTGGTAGATACTGGTGCAGACTGCAGTCTAGCTTATAGGAATCCAGTTTATAGAGTAGCAATAAATTCCAGGATAAGTTTCCAGGAAAAGCTGCATTCATTGATGGTTATGGGGGTCAGTCAGTGAAGGTGAAACCTGTGTCTCTGCATCTTGGCCTTGGCTGCTTGGCTCCCTGCCTATATACTGTGTATGTCTCTCCCATACCTAAATATATTCTGGGGGTGGACATTTTGCATGGTCTGGACTAAAACACCATGGCCAGAGAATTCAGACTCTGAGTTCATGTAATAAAGCCAGTAATGCATGGATATACACACCACCAGCCCCAAGTTCTGCCACAACCCCAACGTGTTACCTCCACTCATCAATACCATTTGCCAGGGGGGCATACAGAGATAACTAAGACTATTAAGAAGTTAGAGGAGCTGCAAATAGTGAGTGGCACTCATCGCCCCTACCATTTCCCAGTATGGCCAGTCAGAAAGCCTGATGGGACTTGGCGCATGACAGTGGATTATCGGGAACTGAATGAAGCAACACCCCCTCTGCATGCAGCTGTACCTTCCATCATGGATTTTATGGAACACTTAACAACAGAACTGGGACAGTACCACTTTGTGGTGGACTTAGCTAATGCATTCTTCTCCAATCACATTGCTCCGGAGAGCCAGGAACAGTTCACCTTCACATGGGAAGGATCACAATGGACTTTCACCATGCTGCCTCAGGGCTATGTGCATAGCCCCACCATTTGTCATGGTTTTGTTGCCATGGACTTAGCCGCCTGGAATTGTCCAAAAGGGGTCAGCCTGTTTCATTATATTGATGATATTATGATTCTCTTGCAGATCTAGAAGGTGCAGGGCCCCTCTTGCAGCAACAATTGGCAGCATGTGGGTGGACCATCAATGAATCCAAGGTCCAAGGACCTGGATTGTCTGCCAAATTGTTGGGAGTTATTTGGTTGGATAAGACAAAGGCCATACCAGAGGCCATCACTGATAAAATACAGGCATACCCCTGACCCACCACGGTGAGGCAGCTGCAGACTTTTGTGGGCTTCTTGGGGTATTGACAGGCATTAGTGTCCCATTTGGCTCAAATGATAAAACCATTGTACCAGTTAACAAAACAAGGGGCTACCTGGAATTGGGTTGATGAGGCTGAAATAGCCTTTCCGGCCACCAAGCAGGCTATTCATTAGACATGAGCCTTACAAGTGATTGATCGGGGCGCCCATTTGAATTTGATGTACATGTGGCTACAGATGGTTTTGGCTGGGGCCTATGGCAGTGCATTGAGCATTTTAGAATGCCAGTAGGCTTTTGTCCCACCTACGGAAGAGAGCTAAGCTATGGTAATAATTGTTAGAGAAGCAATTAGCTGCTGCATATGCTGCTCTTCAGGCCTGTGAGAACCTGACAGGATGGCCTACAGTTGTCATGCAGATGACTTATCCAATAGCGGAGTGGGTAGGTTCATGGGTAATAACCCCTCAGACAGGGAGAGTGCAGACATCCACTTTAGCAAAGTGGGGTGCCTACTTAGAGCAGCAGAGTACGCTGAATACAAGTCCCTTAGCAGCAGAGTTACCAGAAGTCTTGGGGCATGTAGTCCTAAGGCAGGGTAAGGCCATGGGGCCTGAGGCACCCCTAGACCATGAGCCATCATCATTTAAGGAAGGGTGCCCTCTCATTCTTGATGGACATAGTATATAGATGGGTCCAGCCAAGTTGCTACTGCTGCCTGGACTGCTGTAGCAGTCCAGCCGACCACTCACACCATATGGTTTTATACTGGATGTGGACAAAGCAGCCAATGGGCTGAACTCAGAGTGGTGTGGATGGTGATTACCAAGGAGGAGTCACCTATGGTAATCTGTACCAATAGCTGGGCAGTCTATTGAGGGTTAACCTGGTAGTTGACTACCTGGAAGTTATAGAATTGGCTTGTAGGCCATCGGCCCATTTGGGGCCAAACCATGTGGCAAGACATCTGGGAAATGGGTCATCAAGTGTCAGGCCATATGCCTTTGACCACCCCCAGTAATGATGAGGCAAATGCATTGACCAAAGTTCAATGGTTAGAGTTGGCACCTACATGAGATGTGGCTTTGTGGCTACACAGAAAACTGAGACATGGGGGTGGGGGTGTAAACTGGTGCAACAGGTCAGTGGGTGCTGAGGTTTGTCTTTGCCCTCACAGGACATTTTGGAGGCCTGCCAGAAGTGCTCAGCATGCACTCAGGCATACCCGAGATATAGACAACTGCCCAGTGTGACACAACAAGTGATGGTAAGGCAGATGCCCTTGACCACATGGCAAATAGATTACATTGGGCCACTGCCAAAATTTCAGGGCTACACACATGCACTGATGGCTGTAGACATGGCCACCGGCTTGTTGTTCACCTACCCTTGCAGGGTGGCCGACCAGCAACACACTATTTAAACCTTGGAGCATGTATGTGCCTTATACAGCCATTCCCTGGCCATTGAAAGTGATAGGAGAACACATTTCACTGGACAGCAGGTACAACAATGGGCAGAGCAGATAGACATACAATAGGGGTTTCATGTTTCTTATAACCCACAAATCACTGGCATGATTGAGCAACATAGTGGATCCTGAAGAATGGGTTACATTTGCATGTTACTCACCCATCTTTGTGGGGCTGGAGTTCCAGGTTGGACTTGGTGCTCCAAATCTTGAATGAGTGGCCACGGAAAGGTGGCCCAGCCCCAGTGGAGGCACTGTTACACTGGGCCACTGCCCCTATCCAGCACAGATACAGACCAAGGATGACCTCCTCTGACCAGGTATGGGGACAAATGGTCATCTGTTGTTGCCTGCCCCAATGCCCCAGAAGGCAGGAGAACAGAAAACCTGGTGTTGACCATGGACCCTCCAAGCACACTATTGCAGATGGTTGGCTATCATAGCCCCTTGTGGGGAGGACCTGCAGTGTGACTTACATGTTACTCCTAGGGTATTTACTGTGTGGCCTCCACAATTGACAATTCATAGGGGAATGGCCAGGGAAGGGACCCTCCCCTGGGGGACATAGGTACTGTCTGTGTGACCCAGCTCCCCTGTGACTTTAGCATGAGCACAAGACACAAAATAACCACGGAGAGCTGATAAGATGTGGTACCATCGCCTAGGGAAGAAGCCATTGGTGACTGCATAGTTATCCAGAAATAAAAAGTGGGCTCGTATTTTGCCTGAGGGACGTGATTTACCCCTCTTAGTACCTGTGCCTGCTTTGCCATTTTGGCCACAGGTTGACATGCTACAACAGCATCGTGGACTAGGCCCACACCTATGCTGAGGTGACCAATGTCTCCAACTGTTGGATCTGCACCACCTTTCCAGCAGCAGCTGCAGATGGCTTGCCCTGGCACATACATCCAGCTTCTGTGCAGAACTGGACATGGCTACAGACTTGGGGTCCCACAGACAACGGATGGGATGCAACACGGTGTGCTTTGGATAGGGGGTGTTGTAAAACCCATGGCAAGCCTCTCCCCTTGCTGACTCATAGTGTCCATGATGGATGATGCTGGCTAATGGGAGAAAACATGGTGCCCTCATTGCAGGCACCACAATGTATAGAGCAACACTGGGGTAAAGTCAATGTCAGAAGGTTGCCCACCGAGGCCTGTGCAAACATAACACGTGTCACAACACCAAGGGTGTAGTGGAACAAGCAGTCTTACCAAGGCTGGTCCCCAATGGACGTTGTGCCCTCTGGGAGTTTATGGGTCTGTGGGGACATAGGATGGCCATATCTGCCAGCCAATTGGACCGAATGTTGTACCTGGGGGTGGCCTTATGTGCTTCCCACATTGCCTAGTCGCTCTCACAACTGGGAGGCATTGCATTCCCAGTTTTTGTGAGTGTGGCCGGGCCCCTGGTGGTTCTACTCTTTAGCAATAACTATGCTTGGAGCGGGTGTAATCACTGTAGAAATGCAGGTTACAGCCCTTTCAGAGCACAGAGCTCAGAACCTGAATTGCACCCATGTTATCCTCCTTTTGTTTACTGATGAGGTTGATCACATTAGGAAGGCGGTGCTGCAAAACCGGATGTCCTTAGACATAGTCACCACTGCCCAAGGTGGCACTGTGCCCTTGTAGGGACACGATGTTGTACATTTATCCCTAACAACCACCAGAACATAACAGCAGCTTTACAGGGGGTGTCATGGTAAATTAAAGTGATTGAATGCTTTACTGATGACCCCCTGTAGAGACGGTGGGCATCCCTGAGCTTTGGCCTATGTTGGGCTGTCATAATCATAGGTAGCATAGCGGGAATATCAGTGGTACGTTGTTCCTCTCTGTATTATTGCTATGGCCTATGGGTTCAGGGTGCTGCCCTATGGGCACGGGTCACCACTAAGAGGACCCCTTCATCCTAGGGGATGTAGTGTAAGGAACATTGCTCTGCTGCAGCCAGGCAGGCATAGGCTGAGGTAAACATTCTTCATGACTCAGTGGGATTGGAGCTCAGTTGCATAATTCCATGCGTTATGTAATCACAGCTACATAACCATAACATGGGAGGCTCATCATCTGGCTCCAAGCCACTATTGTTTGTGAGGTGTATAAATGCAACATTGACACTGTGAAAGAGCTGCTGAATAAACCCATGTCTCATCTCCCTGCTGTCTCTCAAGTGTTCTTCCAGCTCCCTGACTCCCATCCACCCACTCCCCTCGGACCTCAGCTGGGGCTTGAAGCTGAAACTATCCAAAATAAAATTCCAAAATTTTCAACATTGGAAAGTTACCATGAGTTTATAGTTTCATTAGTATACTGAAGTGTCCTTTATTTAAAGATATCTTTACTCATATTATCTCACTTCACCTTCTAAAGGAGTTCATTTTGTTATTCCCATTTTAATGAGAAACTGAAGTGTAGGAAGGTTAGTAACTTCCCTGGAGCCACAAAGTTAGCAAGCAGCAGAGCCATGATTCAAATAGAGGTATAATTTCAAAGTCTATGCACTTAATCATAAAAGTATGCATGGCCCCCTTTCCTAACAGAGTAGTTGACTACTCCAAATATCATGTTGAGTTTCAATTCCAAATGCTGGAGGTGGGGCCTAATGGAAGGTGTTTGAATCAGGTGGGGTGGATCCTTCAGGAATGACTTGGTGCCATTCTAATTATAATGAATGAATACTTACTCTATTAGTTCCCACAAGAACTGGTTGTTGAAAGGAGCCTGACACTCTCTACTCCCTCTCTCTTGCTTTCTCTATCACCATGTGATCTGCACATGCCAGCTCCTGTCTGCCTTCCACCATGACTGGAAGCAGCCTGAAATTCTCACCAGAAGTAGATGCTGGTGCCATGCTTCTTGTACAGCCTGCAGAACTGTGAACCAAATGAACCTCTTTTTTAAAAAATAAATTATCCACTTTTAGTTGTTCCTTTATAGCAACATGAAAATAAACTAAGATACTATACTAGGGGCAAGAACACAAAAGGATAGGCCCTGGATAGTTAGACTTACTAGGCACAATAGGGAATAGGTGTAGTGGCAAGATAGGCTTCTGGGAAGGAGGTTAGCCATATTTTCAGAGTATGCACTAGGAAGAAAAATCACAAACATGTTCTGATAGAGTGTGCTCCACTCAAACCAGGAGAACATGTACAAATGGAGCATTCAACAAGAGAGTCTGAGATAACTTACCAGAGACAAGTAAATTTCAAATCTGAACTGGTGTTAGAGGACTAGGGATGGTGAAAGTAAAGAACAGTGGAAAACTTGGAGACAACTAGAATTAATTCTGGAGATAGTGGAGAAAAAGCAAGGAGACCACAACAGGGCTTTTATGAGTACCCAACATGTGTCCAAGTCATCTCATCACACATTATATTTTACTGTTAAATGTAATATTATATATGTAAAATGGTCCTCCAATCGAACTATAAACCTTTTGATGACAGCAATAATTACTCACACTTCTTCTATGTTCCCTCATAATACCCAACATTCACTAATTCATTTATTCTTTTATTGATTTCTCAGGCTCTACACTACGTACTGGGCATAAAAACACAAACAAGACATGATTTTCAGTCTCATGAAGGTCACAGTGTAAAATCGATTCTGAATTGGAATTAATAGATGGAATCCCGGCATGGCGCTGTCCATAGATCTGAGTAATAGGGGCTATGTGATCATGATGCATTTTTCTGTGTGAATCTGTAGTTTTTATCAGGCCCTCCAAATGGATTTAGAGCTTATAAGCAAGGGTGGGGGAAAACAGACATGTAGATAAATAATTCAATGTAACTCCTCAGAGTTTGAGTGGGAGCAGGTCAAAAGCTTCACAGAAGAGGTGATATTCGACCACTTCAGCCAAGCAGGTGGAAAGAGCATTCCAGGGATAGGGATAGGATATGCAAAGGTATAAAACGATAAAAGAGCATACTGCATTTGGGAAACTACAAATAGTTTGATATGGCAGGAACATGAGACCAGAGGCAGCATGCCAACTCCAGACTGACACCCTCCTGCATTCACTCCACTTCTGGAATATCACCAACTGCTTATAGATTCATCCACATTGTCCCCACACTGCAATAGCTGCTTAGAAGAGATGACTAGTAGGCAGATGTTCCCCACAGAACCTGGCCCTTATCTCAGAATTTTAAAGTGAGAAGCAATGAAAGAAGGTTTGAAAAAGTAGCTTTATTCTCCTATCACATTTGGATTCCTAGTTTGGGCACTTAGGAAATCACCAGTGGTAAATGGAATGTCATCAGTTACTTCTCTTTATTTCTTTTTCATTTTATATCTAAAAGAATTTTAAGGCCCAGAGCATAAGATGTGGAGCAGTGTGTCTGCTATCATGTAGACTTATCTAGTTGCTAACTTTCCAACTCATTCTATACTGCTGCTCTATACCTATGTCCAATAGTCTAACCCATTACTGGCTATGTTTGTTTCTCTTCTCCCAGAACCAGTATCTTTGGCACTGTTTTATGCCCCTGCCTTTTTCTCCTTATTTCTCAAGCTGCTCCTGAATTTAAAAGTTTTTTAAAAAATATTTTACACATTCTTTATCCATTATCCCCTTGAAAGATATTGAGGATTGTTCTGCTGTTTAACTCTTTTGAATAAAGCTGCTCTAAATATTCATGCAAAAGTCTTTGTGTGGACATGTGTTTCCACTTCTCTTGGGAACATGCATTAAAAATAGAATAACTGAATTATATGGAAGGTCCATATTTAACTTCATAACAAACTCCCAATACTTTATTTAAAGTGACTGAAACATTTTTCTTTTTTAGAGATGAGATTTTGGTCTCACTATGTATCATTTTACACTCTTACAGAAATGTATAATATTTCTCATCATTCCACATTTTCACTGATGCCAGTCATTTTAGCCATTCTAGTAGATGGGTACTGGTATATTATTATGCTTTAAATTTGCATTTATCTAATAAAAATGATGGTCAATATGCCTACTGGCCACTTATGTATCTTATTTTGTGAAATGTCTGTTCAAGGGTTTTGCCCACTTTGAGCAGGGAAAGAGGCTATTCTATTTATTATTGAATTTTGGGAGTTCTTTAAAATTCTGGATACAAGTTTTTTATCAGATATATTTTGTTAGTTAAAATCATCCAAAAAATAGATACCAAGATGGAATTAGAAGGTAAGAGAACGATTGGGGAATATGCCCTTGAATGATTAAAGAGAAGGGGCACGAGTAGGCAGAGAGGGCTTCAGACTATAATCAGGTCTGACATCTGGCACAAGAGAAAGGAAAGGAAGGAGGATAGAAAGAGCCTCAGGCTGTACCATGGTCTGAGAGAATATCGACCAAGCTAATGGAAGCACTGGAACAAAGGTTGTCCACAAAAGGAATTTATGCCACGTTAGGCATGAATGTCCCAGCTCTGGTACCACCACCATGCTCAGTCATAGATTGGGAATATACTGGAGATACTTAGGCCATTACATAAATGCTGAATTGGACCCAGAAAGTGTAGCAGCTTTTGGTTTCCAGCTAACTACACTTGTCATAGCAGGTTATATTTGAAAGAAGATCTGAGAGGAACATTCTCATGACTGTCAAAGTCCATCCTAGTGTCACACTAATATTTTCCATCCATGTCCCTGAGAGCAGTTTCTTCCATGGCTCCTATAGGAATCTACTTCTAAGGGAAAGTTTAAAAAGCGAAAGTGAGTGGGATGAATTATAACCTTCATTGCTATAGTTGGTCTTCAGACAACAATTGATACACGTGTCCATCTTTTACTCTCCATTGTAAAGTTCCCTCATTCTAAACTATCACTTGTGCACATCTTGGTGATCCACCTCATTGCCTGACCTAAACCTTTATTCCTGAAGGGTGTGAGTTCCTGAACAAATTGTACACTTCTCAGGATGGAATTACTGTGCACATCCAGCATAGTTACACTTGCACAAGAGAGTAACAAGAGGGGCATTGCAATGCAAATGTAGTTTCATTTTAAAAAATAAATTAACATAATTTGTGATACTAATAGAATAAAAAAGAAAACACATATTGTCATCTCAACAGGTATAAAAAAGCATACAAGAAAATTTGACACCCAATCATGATGAAAACGCAAAAAAAATTATGAATGAAAGGGAAGTTCATCAACTTGATAAAGGGTTATCTTTAAGAACATACTCAAACTATTCCGAAAAATGGAAGAGAGGGAAACACTTCCAAACATACTCTATGAGGCCAGTCTTACCGTAATACAAAAACCAGACAAAGACACATTAAAAAAACTACACACAATAACTTTGATGAATGTTGATGCAAAAATCCTCAACCAAAAACTAACAAAAAACACTTAAGACTCCATCAAAAAACTATTCAAACTGATAAACTAATTCAGTGAAGTTTCAGGATACAAACCCAACATACAAAAATCCGTAGCACTTTTATATGCCAACAGTGAACAAACTGAAAAGGAAATTAAAAAGTAATCCCCATTTACAATAGACACACATAAAATTGAATACCTAGGAATTGTCTTAACTGAAGAAGTGAAAGAGCTCTATAATGGAAACTATAAAACAGTAATTAGAGAAATTGAACAGGACACCAAAAATTGGAAAATATTTTATGTTCATGGATTAGAAGAATCAATATTGTTAAAATGTCCATACTACCCAAAGCAATCTGCAGATTCAATGTAATTTCTATCAAAATACCAATGACATTCTTCACAAAAATAGAAACAAAAAGAATTCTCAAATTTATATGGAATGACAAAAGACCCCAGATAGCCAAAACCATTCTAAGCAAAAGGAACAAAACTGGAAGAATCACATTACCTGACTTCAAATTATGTTACAGAGCTATAGTAACCAAAACAACATGGTACTGACATGAAAACAGACACATAGACCAATGGAACAAAACAGAGAGCTCAGAAACAAATCCACACACCTACAGTGAACTCATTTTTTGACAAAGGTGCCATAGGCTCTTCAATAAATGGTGCTGGGAAAACTGGATATCCATATGCAGAAAAATAAAACTAGACCGCATCTCTCAAATCAAAATAGATTAAAGACTTAAATCTAAGATTTCAAACCATGAAACTTATACAAGAAAACACTGGGGGAAATCTCCAGAACATGGGTCTGGGCAAGGACTTCTTGAGCAATGCCCCACAAGCACAGGCAACCAAAGCAAACATGAACAAATGGGATCACTTCAAGTTCATAGCTTCTGCACAGGAAAGAACAGAAACAACAAAGTGAAGAAACAACCCACACAATGGGAAAAAAATATTTGCAAATGACCTGGCAAGTGATTAATAACCAGAATGCACAAGGAGCTCAAACAACTCTAAAAAAAAACTAATAATCTGATCAACATCTGAGCAAAAGATTAGAAAAACAAATGGCAAACAGGCATAATGAAAAGATGCTGAATATCATTGATCATCAGAGAAATGCAAATCAGAACTACAATGAGATATCATCTCACCCCAGTTTAAATGGCTTACATTCAACAGATAGGCAATAACAAATGCTGGCAAAGATGTGGAGAAAAGGGAATTCTTGTACACTGTTGGTGGGAATGTAATTTAGTACAATCACTATGGATAACAGTTTGGAGGTTTTTCAAAAAACTTAAAATTGAGCTACCATATGATCCAGCAAATTCACTGCTGGGTATATATACAAAGAAAGGAAATCAGTGTATGAAAGAGATATCTGCACTCCTGCGTTTGTTACAGCACTGTCTACAATAGCTAAGATTTAGAAGCAACCTAACTGTCCATCAACAGACAATTGGATAAAGAAAATGTGGTACAATTACACAATGGAGCACTATTTAGCCATTAAAAAAGAATGAGGACAAGTCATTTGCAACATCATAGATGAAACTGGAAGTCATTTTGTTAAGTGAAACAAGCCAGGCTCAAAAAGACAAACATCACATGTTCTCTTTTATTTGTGGGACCTACAAATCAAAACAATTGAACTCATGGAGATACAGAGTAGAAGGATGGTTACCAGAGACTGGAAAGGGCAGTGGGATATTGACGGGGAGGTGGAGATGGTTAATGAGTAGAAAAGATAGTTAGAAAGAAGGAAGAAGACCTACTATTTGATAGCACAACAGGGTGTCTTAAGTCAATATTACATTAATGGTACTTTTTAGAATAACTTGAAGAGTATAATGGGATTTGTTGAAACTCAATGGATAAACGCTTGAGGTGATGGATACCCCACTCTTCCTGATGTGCTTATTTCACATTGCATGCCTGTATCAAAAAATTTCATGTAACCCATAAACATATACACCTACTATGTACTCACAAAAATTAAAAAATAATTTAAAAGATAGTATGTGTAAGTCTCATGATAACTTCAAAGCCAAGAATATGCAACAGATACACAAAAAAACAGAAAGCAAGAAACTAAATTATATGCCAGACAAAATCACCTTCATTAAAAGGAAGAGAGAAAGGCAAGAAAGAAGAAAGAGAAAACCACAAACAAGCAGAAATCAAATAACAAAAGAGGAAAAGTGAGTTCTTACTCAGCAATAATATTGAATGTAAATGTACTAAACTTTTCTAACAAAAGACACAGAGTGGCTGAATGAATAAAATAAGAAGACTTAATGACCTGTTGCCTGCAAGAAACACACTTCACATATAAAGACACACACAGAATGAAAATAAATGGATGGAGAAAGATATTCCATGTCATTGGAAATCAAAAAGAAGTGCAGGAGTAACTATACTTAGATAAAATAGGTTTCAAGACAAAAACTATAAGAAGAGACAAAGAAAGTCATGATGTAATAATAAAGGGGTCAATTCCACAAGAGGATATGACAATTTTAAATATATATGCACCCAATATTGGAGCACCCAAATATATGTAAGAAATATTATGACAGCTAAAGAAAGAGAGAGACTCCAATGCAATAATGGCTGGAGACCTCAACACCGCACTTTCAGCATTGGACAGATCTTTTGGACAGAAAGTCTGGAAAGAACACGTAATCCGCATTGTAGGCTAAAAGGACCTAATGGGTATTTACAGAACAGTTCATCCAGTGCTACAGAATACATATTCTTTTACTCAGCACATGGATTATTCTCAATGATAGACTATATTTTAGATCACAAAGCAAGTTTTAAACATGCAAAATAATTTAAAATAATACGAAGCATTTTATCTGACCACAATGAAATAAAACAGAAATCAATAACAACAGGAATTTTGGAAACTATATGAATACATGGAAATTAAACATATGCTCCTGAATGACTAGTGGGTCAATGAAGAAATTAAAAAGGAAAGTGAAAAATGTTATGAAACAAATGATAATGGAAACACAACATAACAAAACCTATGGGATACAGTGAAAGCAGAACAAAAAGGGAATTTTATAGCTATAAGTGTCAACATCAAGAAAGAGAAAAAAAGCTTTAAATAAACAATCTATCATCTTAAAAAACTAGAAAAGCAAAAGGAAACCAAACCCAAAATTAGTAGAAGAAATTAAATGCTAAATATCGGAGCAGAAATAAATCAAATGGAAACAAAAAAATAAAATATTAATAAAGCAAAAAATTGACTTTTTGCAAGGATAAACAAAACTGACAAACCTTAAGCCAGACTAATAAAAAAGAGAGAAGATCCAAAAATACAACCAGAGATGAAAAAGGAGACATTACAACTGATACTATGAAAATTTAAAGGATCATTAGTGATTACCATAACCAACTATATGTCAATAAATTGGAAAGTCTAGAAGAAACAAACAAAATCCTAGACACATGCAACCTACCAAGATTGAACCAGGAAGAAATCCAAAATCTGAATAGACCAATAGCAAGTAATGAGCTCAAAGCTGTCATAAAAAGTCTCTCAGTAAAAGAAAGCCCAGGGTGCCACGGCTTCACTGTTGAATTTTTACCAAATATTTAAGTGAAAACTAACACCAATCCTATCCAAAATATTGCGAGAAATACAGAAGAGCATACTTCGAAACTCATTCTGTGAGGCCAGTTTTACCTTGATACGAAAACCAGACAAAAACACATCAAAAATAGAAATCTACAGATCAATACCTCTAATCATTATTGATGCAAAAATCCTCAACAAAATAATAGTAAATCAAACTCAGCAATATATTAAAAAGATCATTTTATCATGATCAAGTGGTATTTATCCCAAGAATACAAGAATGATTCAATATGCACAAATCAACTAATGTAATACAATTAACATACCTCAACATAATAAAAGCCATGTATGACAGACCAACAACAAGTGCCATATTGAATGGGGAAAAACTAAAAGACTTTTCTATAAGATCTGGAACATGACAATGATTTCCACCACTGTTATTCAACATAGTACTGAATGTCCTAGCTCGAGCAACCAGAAAAGAGAAAGAAAGAAAGGGCATCCAGATTGGAAAGGATGATGTCAAATTATCCTTGTTTGCATTTGATATCATCTCACATCTTAAAGACTCCACCAAAAACCTATTCAAACTGATGAATTCAGTAAAGTTGCAGGATACAAAATTAACATACAGAAATTCGTGGCATTTATATTTGCCATTTCTATATGCTAATATTGAACAATCTGAAAAAAGAAATCAAAAAAGTAATCTCATTTACAATAGCCACAAATAAAATTAAATATCTAGGAATTGACCAAAGAAGTGAAAAATATCTATAATAAAACTATAAAACATTGGTGAAAGAAATTGAAGAGGACAACAAAAAATGGAAAGATATTTCATGTTTAGGAATTTGAAGAATCAATATTGTTAAAATATAGTACCCAAACAAATCTAGAGTATAATGCAACCCCTATCAAAATACCAATGCCATCCTTCACAAAAATAGAAAAAAAAAATCCCCAAATTTATACGGAACCACAAAAGACCCCTAATAGCCAAAGTTATCCTAAGCAAAAAGAACAAAACTGGAGAAATCACATTACCTGATTTCGAATTCTACTATAGACCTATAGAGCTACCTGATTTCAGATTTTACTATAGAGCTGTAAGCAAAACAACATTGTACTGGCATAAAAACAGACTCATCATAGACCAATGGAACAGAATAGAGAATCCACGAACAAATCCACACACCTGTAGTGAAATCATTTCTGACAAAGGTGACAGAAACATAGACTGGGGAAAAAGTCTCTGCAATAAATGGTGCTATGAATCCATATGCTGAAGAATAAACCTAGACACCTATCTCTTGCCATATACAAAAATCAAACCAAAATGGATTAAAGCCTTAAATCTAATACCTCAAACTATTTAACCACTACAACAAAACATTGGAGAAAACCTTCAAGGCATTGGTCTTGGCAAAAATTTCTTAAGTAATATCCAACAAGCACAGGCAACCAAAGCAAAAATGGAAAAATGGGAGCACATTGAGTTATAAATTTTCTGCACAGCAAAGTAAACAATGAACAAAGTGAAGAAACAACCCACAGAATGAGAGAAAATATTTGCAAACTATCCATCTGACCAGGGATTAATAATCAGAATATATAAGGAGCTCAAACAACTCTACAGAAAAATAATCTAATAATCCAATATAAAAAATGAGCAAAAGATTTGAATAGATATTTCTCAAAAGAACACATCGCAAATAGGCATATGAATAGATGTTCAATATCAATGATCATCAGTGAAATGCAAATCAAAACTACAATGAGATATCATCTCACCTCAGTTAAAATGGCTTATAAAGACATGCAATAACAGATGCTGGCAAAGATGTGGAGAAAAGGGAACCCTCGTATATTGTTGGTGAGAGTGTAAGTTAGTACAACCACTATGAAGAACAGTTTGGAAGTTCCTCGAAATAACTAAAACTGGAGCTATCATACCATCCAGCATTCATCCCACTGCTGGGTATATATCCAAAAGAAAGGGAATCAATATATTGAAAAGACATTTGTGCCCCCATGTTTGTTGCAGCACTGTTTGCAATAGCCCAAATTTGGAAGCAACCTAAGTGTCCATCAACAGATGAATGGAAAAAGAAAGTTTTGTGCATATACACAATGAATTGCCATTCAGTCATAAAAAAGAATGAGATCCTGTCATTTGCCACAACATGGATGGAACTGGAGGTCATTATGTTATGTGAAATAAGCCAGGCACAGAAAGAGAAATATCACATGTTCTTGCTTATTTGTGATAACTAAAGTTCAAAAC
Organism: Homo sapiens; assembly: GCF_000001405.40. Taxonomy (NCBI): domain Eukaryota; kingdom Metazoa; phylum Chordata; class Mammalia; order Primates; family Hominidae; genus Homo; species Homo sapiens. The sequence continues at coordinate 76,813,127 of NC_000023.11, forward strand.
AATTGAAATCGAAAATAAAAGGATGGTTACTAGAAGCTGGGAAGGGTAGTTACAGTAAGAAAAGAATCACTATTTCTAAGGGCAACCCCTCCACTTGTGCTGTAGATATCAATGCCTCAAACTTTCCCATAAGCTATACTCCTACAATTATCCTCCATTTCAGTTGCATCATCAATTTCTTCATCTCTACCATATCATTCTCATTATCATAAATATCTTACATCTTTAGAAGACATCTACTTTCTAGGCCAGGTGTGGTGGTTCACACCTGCAATCCCAGCAATTTGGGAAGGCAAGGTGGGCAGATCACTTGAGGTCAGGAGTTAGAGACCAGCCTGGCCAACATGGTGAAACCCCATCACCACTAAAAATACAAAAATTAGCCAGGTGTGGTGATGCATGCATGTAATCCCACCTACTCGGGAGGCTGAGGCAGGAGAATCGCTTGAATCCAAAAGGTGGAGGTTGCATTGAGCCAAGATTGCACCACTGCACTCCAGCCTGGGCAACAGAGTGAGATTCTACCTCAAAAAGGAAAAAAACGACATCCACTTTCTTGTTCCCCCTACCTTCTCCTTCTAATCCCTATCTCACTCTCCAATTCAAAGTTTCTTGAATGGGTTGTTGTTACATACTGTCTATAATCTCCTCCCACTATCTCAAAATGACACCAATTAGGCTTTCAACCGCAACACTCCAGTGAAATTGCTCTTGTAAAGTTCTCACTTTCTTTCATATGACCAAATTTAATTTTCAAATTCTCCTCTTGCTTAACCTGCTAATGTAATTTAACACAATTTTCCACTACCTTCTCATTAAATTACTCTCCTCTTAGCTTCTGTGACACCATACTCTCATGGATTTCCTTCTACACCACTAACTTTTCTTTCTCTGACTCATTTGCTACTTCTTCCTTCTCCACTCAACTTCTAAATATCAAGTAGCCCAGGCCCCTTCCTTGGCCCTCTTTTCCTCTCTGGCTATACTCTCCATCTAAGTAATCCAATCTACACCCATGGATTTAAACTAAACACCATCTCTCTGCAGATGACTCTCAAATTGAAATCTTTAACTAAGACCTTTCTCCTGAGCTCCAAACAGCCTCCCTGACATATCTTATTTGCAACTGAGTCCCATTCTATCATTCTCTCTTTATCTACTGTTAATTGACCAGATATACTCTGGGTTTTATACAAATTCAACTTTCCCCTATACCATGGATGTCATTCTCCAAGTTATTTCTTCTACACATGCTATATCCCATGTGGAATGCCCTTCCCATCTATCTATCACTATAACAACTAGTGTTTCCCAAACCTGACTGCATCAGAATAACTGGAGAAGCTTCTGGGGTCACAGCCCTAGGAATTCTGAGTCAAAAGATTGAGCCTGGGTTCCAATAACTTCTCTCAGTAATCATGTTTTTTTACTACACGTTCCAAGGGGAGAAAGCATGACCCGAGAAAAACCTTTACTGTGCACTAACGTTACCTCCTCTGTGAATACTTGTCAGACTCCTGGAGACATGATTCAGTACTTCTTTCCCTATGCTCCAACAGCATTTTATACTTAATTCTCTTGTAGGTTGTATTGTGCTTTTTAAATAATTGGCCCTTTTGTCTACCTCTCCCTACTCCACTCCATCAGCTCCTTGAGGACAGGGATTTTTTGATCTCTGCATATTCATAGACTAACACAACATCTGACACATACTCACTGACTGACTGATGAATAAATTATTTCAGGATCCAAGAGCACATCAAGGTTATGAAGACAGAGTTCTGAGAAATCTTCTCTAACTGGCAGTAGGTATGTCACACACTCAATTCTCTATATCTGTACTGTTTTGTAGGCATCTCAATTTAACATGGCCTAAAGAGGACTCTAGAAGTTTTGCCACTGAACTTTATTCTCTCCAGTCTTTCCCATCTTCTTAAATGGCAGCTTCATAAGCCCATTTACTCCAAATAAAACTTAGTTCCTTTCTAAACCTAATTCATGCTCCCCCTCATTCAATTCATCAACTCTATTCATTCAAAATAACTTTATTCTCACTGAGATAAGTGATTCTATTGGAGTTGCAGCCCCTTTCACCAACATCCTTGACCTGGAAAGAAAGGCTGAGGGAGCACCTTTCAAAGACATTGGTTGGTTTTCCTTCATCAATCTAAATATAATATAAGAGAAAGAAAAGTACAAAGTAGAATCTTCTAGGCCCTAGGAAGTACAAAATAAAGGTAGACAGGTGAACAGGACCCATAATAGAGCCAATCTCATCCTCCTCCAATATTTTTATTTTATTAAGGTAAAATTCACATAATATAAAATTAACCATTTTAAAGTTTACCACGTGGTGGCATTTAGTTAATTCACAGCGTTGTGCAATCACCACTTATATCAAGTTTGAAAACATTTTGTCACCCCCAAAATATACTCCTGCACTCATTTAAGCAGGTATATCCAATTTCTTACTACTTGCACACCCCGATGACCACCAATCTTCTTTCTGTCTTTATAGATTTACCTATTGTGGATATTTTATATAAATAAAATAATACAAGATGTGACTTTGCTCTTCTTTCACTTAGCATAATGCTTTCAAGGTTCATGCATGTTTTAGCCAGTATGAATAATTCAGTTCATTTTACAGCTAATATTATTTCATTATATGAATATACCACATTTATTTATTCATTTATCCATTAATAAACGTTTGGGTCTTCTTTCACTTTTAACTGCTATGAACTAGTGTACAAGTATTTGAGTGCTTGTTTTTAATTCTTGTGGACATACACCTAGGAGTGAAATTGCTGAGTCATATGGTAATCATGTTTAAATTTTTGTGAAACCGCCATGCTATTTTCCACAGTAATTGAACCATATAACATTGTTACCAGCAACGTATGAGTTCCAATTTCTCCACATCCTCACCAGCACCTATTTTCCTTTTTCCAAATTATAGCCAACCTAGTTGGTGTGATGTAGTATCTCTTTGTGGTTTTGATTTGCATTTCCCTGATAAATAGTGATATGAAGCATCTTTTCATGTTCTAGTGGCCATTTACAGATCTTCTTTGGAGAAATATTTGGTCAAGTCCTTTGCCAATTTTAATTGGGTTGTTTATCTTTCTGTTGTTGAATGCTAAGAATTCTTAATATATCCTAAATACTAGATCCTTATCAGATATGTGATTTGAAAAATTTTCCTCCCTTTCTATGGGTTATCTTTTCATTGTGTTGAAAATATTCTTTGATGCACAGAAGTTTTAATTTTGAAGCAGTGCGATTTATTTATTTTTTGTTCTTTTTGCTTTTGGTGTCATACCTAATAATTCATTGCCAAATACAAGGTCATAAAAATTTACTTCTATATTTTCTTCTAAGAGATTGTGATGGTTAATTCTATGTGTCAACCTGGCTGGGCCACAGTGCCAGGATGTGTGGTAAAACATTATTTTGGATGTTTCTTTGTGAGTGTTTTTGGATGAAGTTACCATTTAAATTGATGGGCTTTAAGTAAAGAAGATTGCCCTCTATAATGTGAGTGGGCTCATGCTATGAGTTAAAAGAGAGTAGAACAAAACTCTAACCTCTTCTGAGTAGGAGGAAATTCTGCAACAGACATACATTGGACTTGAGCTGCAACATCGGCTCTTTCTTTAGTCTCCAGTCTGATGGCCTTTGGTGTTGAACTGAAACATTAGCTCTTCCCTGAGTATCCAGCTTGCCAGTCCGCCCTTCAAATTTTGGACTTGCTAGCCTCCATTATTACATGAGCCAATTTTTTAAAATAATTTTTTTCTGTATATGTACACATATTCTATTGGTTCTGTGTCTCTGGTAAATCCTGACTAATACAAAGGTATATACAGAGGTTTGGCTCTTAAATTTAGATTGTTGATTTGTTTTTAGTTAATTTTGTTATGTAGTGTGAGTTAAGGCTCCAGCTTCATTCTTTTTTTATGTGGATAGCAAGTTATCCCAGCACCATTGGTTGAAGAGACATTTCTTTTTTTTTTTTCATTTTAAGCATTTTTAATTTTCTTTTTAAAATTTTATTATTATTATACTTTAAGTTTTAGGGTACATGTGCACAATGTGCAGGTTAGTTACATATGTATACATGTGTCATGCTGATGTGCTGCACCCATTAACTCATTTAGCATTAGGTATATCTCCTAATGCTATCCCTACCCCCACCCCACAACAGTCTCCAGAGTGTGATGTTCCCCTTCCTGTGTCCATGTGTTCTCATTGTTCAATTCCCACCTACAAGTGAGAACATATGGTGTTTGGTTTTTGTCATTGTGATAGTTTACTGAGAATGATGATTTCCAATTTCATCCATGTCCCTACAAAGGACATGAACTCATCCTTTTTTATGGCTGCATAGTATTCCATGGTGTATATGTGCCACATTTTCTTAATCCAGTCTATCATTGTTGGACATTTGGGTTGGTTCCAAGTCTTTGCTATTGTGAATAGTGCTGCAATAAACATACGTGTGCATGTGTCTTTATAGCAGCATGATTTATAGCCCTTTGGGTATATACCCAGTAATGGGATGGCTGGGTCAAATGGTATTTCTAGTTCTAGATCCCTGAGGAATCGCCACACTGACTTCCACAATGGTTGAACTAGTTTATGGTCCCACCAACAGTGTAAAAGTTTTCCTATTTCTGCACATCCTCTCCAGCACCTGTTGTTTCCTGACTTTTTAATGATTGCCATTCTAACTGGTGTGAGATGATATCTCATTGTGGTTTTGATTTGCATTTCTCTGATGGCCAGTGATGGTGAGCATTTTTTCATGTGTTTTTTGGCTGCATAAATGTCTTCTTTTGAGAAGTGTCTGTTCATGTCCTTCACCCACTTTTTGATGGGGTTGTTTGTTTTTTTCTTGTAAATTTGTTTGAGTTCATTATAGATTCCCCATTGAATGACCTTGGAATCTTTGTCAAAAATCATTTGGCCATTGATATATGGGCATATTTCTGCACTCTCAATTCTATTCCATTAGTCTATGTGTCTATCCATATGCCAATATGATACTCTTTTGATCATTGTAGCTTTTTAGTAAGTCTGAAAATCAGAAGTATGGGTCCTCCAACTTTATTCTTTTTTTTTTTTCAATATTGTTTGGACTTGTTACAGCCACTGCAATTCCATATCAATTTGAGAACTGGCTTTTCCATTTCTGCAGAAAAACAAAAAGGATATTGGAATTTTAATAAGGATATCTTTGAATCTTTAGATCACTTTCGGTGGTATTGCCAACCTAACAATGTTAAGTCTTCCAATACATAAATACTGGATATATCTCCATTTATTTAGAATTTGTTAAATTCCTTTCAGCATTGTTTTGCAGTTTTTAGTTTACAAGTCTTTTATCAGCTTGGTGAAATTTATTCCTAGGTATTTTATTCTTTTGAATGCTATTATAAATTATTTTTTCCTTAATTTTATTTTAGAATTTCTCACTGTAAGTGTATAAAATACATCAAATTTTTGTGTGTTTATTGAATCCTACAACTTTATTGAATTTATTAGCTCTAATAACTTTTTTGTAGATTCTTCAAGATTTTCTATGTATAAGTTCATAACATCTGCAAACAAAATAGATTTATTTTTTCCTTTCCAATTTGAATGATGGTATTTTTCATTTGTGATTGATCTGGCTAGGTCTTCCAGGTACTTGAATTAAAATGGTAAAAATAGACATGCATGTATTGTTCCTAATTTTAGAGAGGAAGCTTTCAATCCTTCACGTTGACTGTGATGTTAGTTGTGAATTTCTCATAAAGGCCCTTTATCTGGTTGAGGAAGTTCCCTTATATTTCTAATTTGCTATGTGTTTTTATCATAAATAAGTAATGGATGTTGCCAAGAGTTTTTTCTCCATCAGTGGAGTTCATTATACGTGGCTTTTCCCATTAATTCTACTTACATACTGTATGACATTGATTTTTTTTATATTATGAGCCACCCTTGAATTTCTGGGATAAATCCCCTTGATCATGATGTATATAATTCCTTTAATATGATGCTGAATTTGTTAAAATTTTGTTGAGGATGTTTACAACTACATTTATAAAATATTTCTCTGTGGTTTTCATGTGATATTTTTGTCTGGCTTTGATATCAGGGTCATGCTGGCCAAATGGAATTAGTTAAGGAGTGTTTTCTTCTCTTCTAATTGTTGAAAAAATTTAGAAGGATGGATCATAATTCCTCTTTAAATGATTGGTAGCATTCATAAGTGAAGTGATATGGTCCTGGGTTTTTGTTGTTGTTGTTAGGAGGCTTTTAATTAATGATTTTATCTCTTTACTTGTTATAAGTCTGTTCCAATTCCCTATTTCTTCTTGAATTAATTGTATAGTTTGTGTGTTTATCTAAATTTTTTCATTTCATCTATGCTATCTAGTTTGTTGGGATACAATTGTTTTTATAATAGTATACTCTCATAATCATTTTTATTTCTGTAACTTTAGTAGTAAAGTCCCCACATTAAATTCTGGTTTTACTAACTTGAGTCTACTTAAGTTTTAGTTAATATAGCTCAAGATTTTTCAATTTATAGATTTTTTCAAATAACCAATTTTGATTTTATTAATTTTATCCATTGTTTTTCTGTTTGTTATTTCACTTATCTCTGCTGTAATCTTTATTTCCTTCCTTTCATTGTATTTGAGGTTTTTTCTTTTTTCTAGTACTTTATGGCATAAAGTAGTTTGAGTTTTGTTGATTAAGGTGATTTTTTAATTGAAAAATAAAATGATATGTTTATTGCATACAATATGATGTTTTGAAACATGTATATACCATAAAATGGCTAAATTGAGCTACTTAACATATATGTTACCTCATATACTTGTCATTTTTTGTGGGGTAAACACTTAAAATTATTTTAGCAATTTTCAGCAATACAATATATTGTTATTAACTATAGTCACCTTGTTGTACAATAAATATCTTGAACTTATTCTTCCTATCTAACTAAAATTTTGTTTCTTGTGATCAACATCTCCCACACTTGCCAACCCTGGAATGTCAAAGCCCATGCTGACTACAATTTTTTTATTTTAAATTTTTATGGTTACATAATATGCATACACATTTATAAAATATTTGTAATATTTTATATGTGCATACAATTTAATGATCAATTTAGTGTATTTAGGGTATCCATCACCTTGAATTTTTATCATTCTATGTTTTGGGAACATTTCAAGTCCTCTCTTCTACGTATTTTAAAGTATACAATCCATTGTTGTTAACTATAGTCACCCTACTCTGCTATTGAACATTTGAAATTATTCTTTCTATCTAACTGTATGTTTCTACCCATTAACCAACTTATCTTCATTCTTCTAACCCACACACACTTCTCAGATTCTAGTATCTATTTTTCCACTCCCTGCCTTTATTAGATCAACTTTTTCGGCTCCTACATATGAGTGAGAACATGCGATATTTGTCTTTTTGTGCCTGACCTATTTCACTTAACAAAATGACCTAGAGTACCATCCATATTGCTGCAAATGACATGATTTTATTTTTCCCATTGTGTAAATGTACCACTTTTTTATCCATTCATTGATAGGTACTTAGGTTGATTCCATATTTTGGATATTGTGAATAGTGATGCAATAAACATAAGAATGCACATATCTCTTCAATACACTGATTTCCTTTCTTTTGGATACTTGCCTGGTGGTGGGATTACTGACTCACACAGTAGTTCTTATAATATATATGTCATATGATAATTCTTTGTCCTTGATTTTTGACAGTTTGATTTTAATATGTCTTGGGGTAGTATTATTTGGGTTGGATCTGATTGGTGACGTCTTCCTTACCTGGGTATTTATGTCTTTCCCCCAGATTGGAGAGTTTTCTGCTATTACTTCTTTAAATAAGGCTTTTATCCCTTTGTCCTTCCCTACTCTCTTTGGAAGCCCAATGACCTGAAGCCTGGGCCTCTGTGGGCAGACCCGGCTCTAGAGTGATCTGAAACCTGAGTTGGTCCTGGAGCCTGGAACCACAAGCTGGCCTGGCAATGGGTGTGCCTAAAGCCTGTGTCTGCAGGGGTCATCTTGAAAGCTAGTTCCATGTGTTCTGGCTGATACATAGAGATTTGGGTTGCATCCTGGTGCTGGTAAGGGCCTAAAGCCTGTTGCCATAAGTGTCAGCCCAGCACATGAGTGTAGTCCAGAACCCAGGGATGCTTGGCCCAGCCTGGCCCTGAGGCAGACCTGGAGTCTGTCTATGGAGCCTGGCCTGGCAAGAGGTCAGGCTTAAAGCCTAGGGCTACTGGTGCTGGCCCAGTGCCTTGGCCAGTCCAGAGCCTAGGGGTACTGGGGTTACCTTGACCCTGGGGCAGCACAAAGTCCTAGCTCACCACACAGGTCTGGAGCCTAGGGCTACAGAATCCCACCGGTGCCATGGCAGGCCTAGAGAATAAGTCCTAGAGCACTGGCCTGGAGTGTAGGGCTGTAGGATCCTGCTAGGTGCTGAATTTTACTGGGATGTGCCTCTTAGTGGGGTCAAGGCAATGTTCTGTGCTCACTTCCTTCTCCTTTCTCCAAACAGACGGTATCTCTGTCCACAATGTGCCACCTGGAATTGGCGGTGGGCTGATGCAGATAATGTAAAACTGTCCTTCCTATTCTTTTCAATGCATCATTTCTTTTTATTTTTCTTTTTTAAAGGAGTCTTGCTCTGCTTGGGGATGGGGGGGATGCAGGTAATGCAAACTGTCCTTCCTATTCTTTTCAATGCATCATTTATTTTTCTATTTTTTTTTTTGTTTTGTTTTTTGAAATGGAGTCTCATTCTTCTTGCCCAGGCTGGAGTGCAATGATGCGATCTTGTCTCACTGCAATCTCCACCTCTTGGGTTCAAGCGATCCTCCTGCTCCAGCCTCCCAAGTAGCTAGGATTACAGGCACCAACAACGACACCCAGCTAATTTTTTTTATTTTTAGTAGAGACGAGGTTTTACCATGTTGGCCAGGCTTGTCTCTATTGAGGGATCTGGCCAGCAGCCCACAATGCAACGGGGCTCTCTCTCTGCTCCTAGGCAGATCGGCAGGATGAGAAATAATAGACACACAAAAGATAGTGAAAGCTGGGTCCAGGGGGGGTCACTGCCTTCTGGTCCCACGGTGCCAACAATGCACTGGATATACCAGCATTTATTATTAAGCTTAGTGAGGGCGGCGGTAGGCTAGTGAGGGATTTAGGGTCATTTGATTATGAGGTGAGATGGTCACATGGGGATGAAGTAATTCTTTAACATAACATTTCTATGTAGAAGTACAGTACATTTGTATGTAGAAGTACAGTATACAGAGGTAAGAATTTACAATATAGTGTGTGCATCAGTAATTTCTAACACAGCCTTAGAACAGAAACACAGTCTTTCCATAACCTATGATTAGCAAGATATTAATCAGCAGTAACAACTGCAACAAAATCTGGTTACAAATAATCCATGGAAACAGGACTTGAAGCTAGACAACTGGTTAGACCAGAAATTCTCAGAAGGGAGTATGCTTTAACCCTAAAGAGGCCTAGAAGAGCCGTGGCAAGATGAGGGTGTTTATAGCCCTATCTTATCCACATGGACAGGCGTCCCCCATACATCCGTTTATAGGCTTTCCACAAGGGTCGCATTCCATTCCCAGAGCTATGAACATCTGCTTTTCTGGGATAGGAATCTTGGTGATGTGAAACCTCCCTGGCTGCACGTCCATTCATAGGCTCTCTGCAGGGGGAAGCACATCACGCGCTGTTGGCTCGTTCTGGCAGTCCAACCTGGCATTGTCTTTACACAATCCTGCATGCAATTTTGTATTTACAATAATCAGGAGCATTTCATCTTTTATTCCATAGAAATAGTTTCAGGGGGTCTCCCTGCAGGTCTCGAACTCCTGACCTCAGGTGATCCACCTGCCTCGGCCTCCCAAAGTGCTGGGATTACAGGAATGAGCCACTGCACCCCACCCATCTTTTCTTATTTCTGTGCTATATCCAGATACTATAATATTTCACCTAGTTTCCTTAGCTCTTGTGAAGGAAGGTTTTTTTTGTGTGTGTGCATGGATGATTTTGCAAATTGATGTTTCTGATAGGGGATGAGTGCCAGTAAGTCCTATTCTACCATCTTGCTGGCACAAAGTTTTTATTTCTTTTTTAATGTAAGCATCTACAACTATGAATTTTCCTCTAAGGACTGCTTTCACTGTATCCCATAAGTTTTGTTATGTTGAGGTTTTATTGTCATTTATCTCAAAGTATTTGTAATTTCCCTTATGATTTCTTCATAGAACCATTGATTATTTGTGGGTGTGTTAACTTCTACATATTTGTGAATTTCGGAAATGTTCTTCCATTATTGATATCTAATTTCACTCCATTGTGGTTGGTGCTATTTCAATTTTTTAAATTCATTCAGATTTATTTTGTGACCTAACATATGATCTATCCAGAAGAATGTTACATGTGAAGTTGAGGAAAACACGTATTTCAGTATTGTTGAGGAGAATATCCTGTATGTGTCTGTTAGGTCTAGTTGGCTTACAGTGTTGTTCAAGTCCACTATTTTTTTAATTATCTTTTGTGTAGTTATTCTGTTCATTATTGAAATTGGAATATTAAAGTCTCCAAATATTTTAGAAGTGTGTTTTTCACCCTCTAGTTCAATCAGTTTGCTTTATATATTTTAGTCCTTGATTTTTTGTGTGCATATGTTTATAATTATTGTATCTTCTTGGTGGATTGATCAATCTATCTATCTATCCATCTATCTATCTATCTATGTATCTATCTATCTATCATCTATATACCTATATGTTTTCTTTATCTCTTTTAACAGCTTTTGATCTGTCTATTTTTTCAGATATTAATAAATCCATCCCAACTCTCACTTTGTTACTATTTATATGAAATATCATTTTGATCCTTTCACTTTTAATGTATTTGTGCCTTTGTATCTAAAATGAGTCCCTTAATTTATCACCATAAAAAATGGTAACTATAGGAGGTGATGGATATGCTTATTAGTTTGATATTGGTAATCATTTCACAATGTATACATATATTAAAACATCAAATAGTACACCTCTTTGAGACCCTGTACGTCTCTTTGAGACTCTGCTTTCCATTTTTCTGAGTGTATATCCAAAAGTGGAATTGCTGAATCATATGGCAAAATTTTTAAATATTTTTTAAAAATCACCATACTGTTTCTCATACTGGTCACACCATTTTACATTCCAGTCTACAGTGCACAAGGGTTCCAATTTCCTCACATCCTCACCACCACTTGTTTTCTGCCTTGTTTTCAAGATAGTGGCTGTATTATTCAGATAGATATATATATACATACATACATACATAGATGATTGGTTCTGTTTCTCTGGAGAACCCTGAATTTTTTATGTATATATAATTAAAATTTTATAAATTTTATATAATTTATATAATTATATAAACATACAATTATATAATATATAAAATTATATATATAATCATATGTATTATATATATGATTTATTTGTTTATTTATATATGATTTATTATAAGATCATAAGGAATTGGCTCATGCAATTATGGATGGCCAGTCCTAAGATCTACAGGCTGCATTAGCAATCTGCAGACCCAGAAGAGCCAATGGTTTAGTTCCAGTCTAAAGGCTGGCAGACTCTAGACCCAGGAATATCCAGTGTTTTACTTCAATTCTGAAGAAGGAATAAAGTAATTGTCTCAGTTAGAAGTCCATCAGGCAGAAAGAATTCTCTCTTGCTCAGTGAAGAGTCAGCCTTTTTGTTCTATTTGGGTCTTCAATTAAGTGTATGAGCTTCCTCACATTATTGAGGGCAATCTTTTTTACTCAGTCTACTGGTTGAAATGCTACCTTAATCTAAAAACACCTTCACAGAAACACAGAATACTGTTTGACCAAATATCTGGTTTCCCTGTTGCCCAGTTAAGTTGACATATATGGTTAAATATCGTAGTAGCCATCCTAATGGGTGTGATGTGGTATCCATTTACTTTTAAAGTAATTATTCATAAGGAAGGAATTCTGCCTATTTTTTATTGGTTTTCTATATGTCTTATATCTTTCTTGTTCCTTCATTTCCTCCATTACTGCCTCTCTTTGTATTTCATTGTAGAGTCCCATTTAATTCCTTTCTCATTTACTTTAGTGCATATTTTAGTTATTTTCTTAACAATTGCCTTGGGGGTTACAATTATTTTTGTAGTATATATGTGTAATATATAACAAATAAATATACAATTAGATTTATAACAATATATTTTGAATTAATACCACCTTTGCTTTAATTGCATACAAAAACTCTGCTCCTATAGAGCTCCATTCCTCTTTTTGCAATGTTGTCATAAAAAGTTTTTACCATTTTTACATTGGTTATCCGTTAACATACATTGATAATTATTATTTTATGCATTTCTTTTTAAAACCATTGTGTGCCTGAAATCCCAGCACTTAGGGAGGCTGAAGCAGGGGATCACTTGAGCTCAGGAGTTTGAGAAAAGCCTGAGTAACATAGTAACACCCCATCTCTACAATTTTTTAAAAATAGCTGGGCATGATGATTTATGTCCATAGCCCCAGCTACTTGTGAAGCTGAGGTAGGAGCATCTCTTGATGGGTGACAGAGTAAGGTTCTGTCTCAAAAAAATGTCATATGTGAGAAAAAGCAGCATTACAAACCAATAATGCAAATAATACTATATAATACAATAATACTTTTATGTTTACCTAGGTAGCTATAATAATTTTACCCAATTTCTTGTATGTCTTAAAGTTATTATCCAGTACCCTCTCATTTCAGCCAGAGGGACTCTCTTCAGCATTTCTTTTAGGGTGAGTGTACTACTGACAGATTCCATCAGCTTTTGTTTATCTGGGATGTTTCAATTTCTTCATTTTTTGAAGGAAATTTTGCTATAAATGAAATTCTTGGTTCACATGTTTTTGTTTTTCCTTCAGCACTGTAATTATGCTATCACATTTCCTTCTGTCCTCCATGGTTTTTCATGATATTGGTTGTTAATCTTATTGAGGATCCCTTTTATGTGGTAAGTTACTTCTCTCTTGCTGCTTTTAAGATTCAGTGTGTCAGCCAGGTATGGGAGCTCATGCCTGTAATCCCAGCACTTTGGGAGGCTGAAGTAGATGAATCATTTGAGCCCAGGAATTTGAGACCAGCCTGAGCAACATAGGGCGACCCTGTCTCTACCAAAAAAAAAAATACAAAAATTAACTGGGCATGGCTGTGCATGCCTGTAGTCCCAGCTATTTGGGAGGCTGAAGTAGGAGGATAATCTGAGCCCAGAAAGGTGGAGGCTGCAGTTTGCCATGATTGCAGCTACTGCACTCCAGCCTGTGCAAGAGAGTGATACTCTGTCTCAAAAAAAATTCAATGTGTCTTGGTGTATGTATATTAGTTTGCTGCAAAAGTAATTGTGGTTTTAGGTCATGAACTTTAAATTACTACAACCAGGCCCAAATGCATCTTTACTAATGAAAATAGGAACCATTACAATCAACATATTTTTGCCAATGAGAAATAAGTTTGTTTATTCCTGTAAAAATCCATGCTTCAGTATTTGATCAACTCTTGGGAAGAATTTTCTGCATCCTACAAGTTATGGAAGCATTTTTCCCTGCCAAAAGCTGTCGAGATGCTTGAAGAAGTGGCAGTCAGTTGGCAAGAGGTCAGGTGAATATGGTGGATGAGGCAGAATTTTGTAGACTAATTTGTTCGACTTTTGAAAAGTTAGTTGTGTGACATGTGGTCAGGTGTTGTTGTGGAGAAATATTGGACCCTTTCTGTTGACCAATGCCAGCTGCAGGTGTTGCAGTTTTTGGTGCATCTCATTGAATTGCTGAGCATACTTCTCACACGTAATAGTTTTGCCAGAATTCAAGAAGCTATAGTAAATCAGACAGGCAGCATACCACCAAAGAGTGACCGTGACTTTTTTTGTGCAAGTTTGGCTTTGGGAAGTGGTTTGAAGCTTCTTCTCAGTCCAACCACTGAGCTGGTCATCACTGGTTGCTGTATAAAATCCACTTTTTGTCACACATCACAATCCGATTGAGAAATGGTTCATTGTTGTTGCATAGAATAAGACAAGACGACACTTTAAAAGGACCATTTTTTGGATTTTCGCTCAGCTCATAAGGCACCTATTTACTGAGCTTTTTCACTATTCCTGTTTTCATCAAATGCCAAACCGCTGTAGAATGACCAACGTTGAGTTCTTCAACAACTCGTCATGCAGTTGTAAGAGGATCAGCTTCGATAATTTTTCTCAGTTGGTCATTGTCAACTTCTGATGGACAGCCACTGAGCTCCTCAACTTCAGGTTTCTTGTCTCCTTGTAAAACTTCTTGAACCACCACTGTACTGTACAGTTGTTAGACGTTCCTGGGCCAAATCCATTGATGATTTTTCAAGTTGTCTCTGCTGCTTTACGACCCCATTTTGAATCCAAATAATTAAATTACTCAAATTTGGTTTTTGTCTAACATCATTTACATTGTCTAAAATAAACATAAAATAAACAGCAAGTAATAAATTATTGGCAAAAAATAAAATGAGAAAAGCCCATTAAAATGATGTATAACATACCACATTTATTTAAGAATGTATTCAAATATCAAACAGCAAATTCCAACAATGCAAAAACCGCAATTACATTTGCACCAACCTAATATTTTTTAATGTATCCTTCTTGGGATTCATTGAGCTTCTTGGAATAGTAGATTCATCACTACTTTTTAAATTTGGGAAGGCTTTGGTCATTATTTCTTAAAACATTTTTGCTTTCCCTTTCTCTTTCTCCTCTCCTGAAACTTCCATTGTGTGCTTTTTGGCACACTTGATGATGTTCCACTGGTCTTTTAAACTCTGTTCATTTTTCTTCATTCTTTTTTCTTTCTGCTCCTCAAATTGGATAATTTTCAGTAGTCCTATCTTCAAATATGCTGTTTCTTTCTTTTGCATGGTCAGGTCTGCTGCTGAGCTTGTCTACTGATTTTTTGTCTTTTCACTTATTGTACTTTTCAATTTCAGAACTTCAGTTCCTTTTTATAATTTCTATTTCTTTATTGATATTCTACATTTATTGAGACATCATTTTCCTGGTTTCTTTTAGCTCTTTGTGCGTATATAAAACAGGAGAGTTACTAATCTTTGTGGAATAAATCCAGTGTGTCTGGACCTCCTCAGGGACATTTTAGTTAAAATGTTCTGTGCATAGGTTATACTTTCTTATTTTCATGACTCATAATTTTTGATAGCATCTCAACATTTTAAAGATTATAATATGGGAATTCTGAAAATTAGATATGTCCCTGCTTCGGGGTTTGTTTTTCTTGCTCACTGTGGGCTGTGGTTGTTTGTTTAGTGGCTTTTCTAAACTATTTTTGTAGTGTCCATGTGGTCTCTGAAGTCTCTTTCCTTATACCTTGTGGTCAGCTAGTGTTTTTCTTTTTTTTATTTTCTTAACAGAGATTTCCTTGAGTGTATGTATTTAAAGAAAAAGAAAGAAAAAAAATCTCTCACGTATTGCAGATTCGCTTTGTGTTGGGGCACTCCTTCAACACTTAACCAAGCTGTTTGCAACTCTACCTTATCCTTACCCTGCTGTTTGTGCTGAGCCTAGAGATCAGCCAAAGGTGGAAAGCTTAGAGTCTTCTTAAGCTGTATTGTGAGCTGTGTCCTGCCTTTGGTATATTTGTATCTTTCTAGCTTTCCAAATATATGTGCATGCTTTAGAATGCCTTAACTTCCCACAGAAACTCTCCCCAGCTTTTCCTTACAAGCTTTCAACATGTCTATTGATTATTTTGACAAAGGTAAGAACTCTATCCTTTGATAAAATTTGAGTTGGGCTTCTCTGAGTCCTCTTTCTGACTATTCCCTAACCTTAGGCTCTGTACTTAGTCTAGTGTCTTTGCCTGCTTAGTTCACAGCAAAAATACTGCTGGATCAGTTTAGCAAAAATTCCTCACCCTTGATATGTTATCAAATTCATTATCCCTCATTCCCAATAACTTATCACTCTGACGTGGCTTCAGTAATAATCTTGTCAACTCAATATGGCCAAAATCTTCCTTACCCATAATGTTTCTTCTTAATAATATTCCATCCACTGATCTCCATCCTGCTTCTTGGCTATAAATCTCCACTTGTTGTATTTGGATTTGAGTTCAATCTCTCTCATCTACTACAATACCCCATTTTTGTGGTCCTCTTGAATAAAATATGCTTTACTGTGTTCAACAGGTATCATGAATTATTTTTCTTTAACAATGTCCACTAATGTTTTGCCAGAGGTGGCAGCAGGTTGTTCATTTGGCTTGCAATGCTTTTTAGAAATGTTCTCTGCATAGCCACGTTTCCTTATTGAGAAGGTTACTACATAGATGATGCAGAGATGAGTCCCTTGCATCAGTCCTTCAGCTAGCCCCCAGGCGGGTCAAGACAGAAAAACAGAATTATTTTAGAATAAGATCTATTCTGTTTTCTCAGGAACCAGGAACAAGAAATTATACTGGAAATGCATATTGCTCACTCCAAGACTATAGCTTATCTGGGGAGGCATTAGGGTAAGGGCAATTAAAAATGCTGTAAAGCTTTTATCCCATTTATAAGTTGTCTTTTTCTTGATCCAGTTTTTCTTGGTTGTTGTTAAACTTTGATTATTTTCCTGAGCTCTTAAAAAGTTGGCTTTGACAGATTCTTGCTCAATTATTTTGCATTTCTTTTGAGGGATGGACCCTTGGTGTTACTTGTTTCACTATGTTTTCTTGTCCTGTAATATATGAACTCATTCTTATTCCTTCAGTGGCAGCTAGAGTAGCCATCTCTGAACCTGTTTTGCATCAGCCAACTCAGAAAACCATGAGAACCTTAGCCTGAGGCCTGGCTAGCATATTGAATGAGATGTCTCTAGTGTCAGCCCAATCCAAAATTATGTTTTGCTTCTCTTGGTAGAGAATCTTTAAAATCCATAGTCACATATTCCTTCTGGATATCTTCTAATATTCATTAGGAAATCCTGTAATTGTTTTCTGGAGTTCTATTTATTTTTACTCTGATTATTTATATTATTCTTTAGATATTTAGTATATATTTTTTGAGACAGAGTTTCACTCTTGTTGCCCAGGATGGAGTGCAATGGCACAATCTCAGCTCACTGCAACCTCTCCCTCCCTGGTTCAAGTGATTCACCTGCCTCAGCCTCCTGAGTAGCTGGGATTATAGGCGCATGCCACCACGCCCAGCTAATTTTGTATTTTTAGTAGAGATGGGGTTTCTCCATGTTGGTCAAACTGGTCTCGAACTCCTGATGTCAGGTGATCCACCTGCTTTGGCAATCCCAAAGTGCTGGGATTACAGGCATGAGCCACCACTTCTGGCCTTAGGTATTTAGTTTTAATTATATTTATATGTAAGCCAGAATTACAGTGGAGAACATCAGGGAGAGCTAATACTTTATACTGTGGTAAGAAAAAAAATACTACCAAGAGTCATACTACTCCAGGTACTCCCATGTACCTTTCTTTATAATTGTCAGGTTACAAAAATCAGACATCAACTTTATCTTACTTAAGCAAAAAAAATATAAATGTACAGAATTGGAGGTACCACAGAAGCTCTGGGACCTTAGCAATAGGAGTTGCTGAGTCTTCCTTCTAATACATTGCCATGAAAGTGATTCAGTTACCTACTTTTGGCCTCCCTATGTCTGAGTTCAAAATTACAACCTTACAAGAGACAGAATCTGATTGGCCCTTGTTTGAATTAGGTGTATCTATCTCTGAATCCATCAGGTATGCCTGGGAAGAATGGGAACAGGATTATATAATACTTTTTAAGTGGTAAAGACTATTTTATAGATAATAAATGTAGAGACATAGAGGTATTATAAATAATAATACATGTAAGATATATATTAAGAGGTTTGTTGTAAGGAATTGGCTTACATGACTGTGAGATCTGGCTAGTCAAATAAAACATCCAGAGCGCAGATAATCAGGAAGGATAGACGAAACCTGTTGGGCACAATGTGAGGCTATTATCCACAGGCAAAATTTATTTTTCTTCAGGGAATCTTCCACTCTTTTCTTAGGGCCTTCTAACTAAGTAGATAAGAGTCTTCCAGATTACCTAGGATAGCCTCCTTTACTTAAAGTTAACTGACTGTGGACTTTAATCACATATACAAAACACCTTTACAGCAGCAATTGGTGTTTGATTGAATAATGGGGAACTGCAGCCCAGCCAACTTGACATATAAAAAATGACCATCACATTGAGTAAGGCCCATCTCTGTGGATTTGGGCTCAGCTTTGTAGATTAGAACAAAGTAGTAACCATAAAAGGAGACATTGCAGAGATCTGGGGAGATTAACGTATGGGTATCACTGAAATGTCTACTCAACAGCTCTAAGTTTCACATGTGTAGCAGTATAATGTATTAAGTCATTAATTTTCAGGGTTTTCCTTCTCGATGTATTTTGTCCTACTCCATTTCAAAAACAGAGTCAAATTCTTTGTGCTGTATTGCCTCAGAGGAGTTAGAACCAAAACCAGTGGATAACTACAGAATATTTCATTTTCCAATTAAAAAAAAACTTCTCACCCAAGGTTAATACAGAAACCACAGAGCCACCAGATTTCAAGTGTAATAAGCAGACATAGATAATGCTTATTTTATTGATAACCCCATTATTTAAGCACCACATAAGGCTTTTATATACTTTTTCAGTATTTATTTATTTATTTTCTATAACCTCATATTAGAAGTGAAATTTTCACATTATTCTATGACTTATGGGAGGCCCTCAAAAATGACTTGAATTTTATTGCATTTGGAATTTTTATTTCTTTAATTTTTAAATTTTATTTTAGATTCAGGGGTTACTTCTGCAGGTTTGTCACCTGGGTATATTGCAGAATGCTGAGGTTTGGGGTGCAGATGATCCCATCACCCCGTTACTCAGCATAGTGCCCAGTAGACAGTTTTTCAACCCTGGCTTTCCCTCTCAGTCTCCCTTCTAGTAGTCCCAGTTTCTACTGTTGCCATTAATATGTTCATGAGTACCCAATATTTACTACCACTTATAATAGAGATCATGCAGTATTTGGTTTTCTCTTCGTGAGTTTATTTACTTAAAAAAAAAGCCACCAACTCCATGCACCTTGCTCTAAAGGACATGATTTTATTCCTTTTAGGACTGAGTAGCACTACATGGTGCATATATAGATATATATGTGAGATGTGTGTGTGTATATATATATATAGATCTCTATATCTATATATATGGATCTCTATATCTATATATATAGATATATAGATATAGATCTCTCTCTCTCTCTCTCTCTCTCTCTCTCTATATATATATATATATATATATATATATATATATATATACACATATTTCACATTTCTTTTTCCAATCCACCATTGATGGGCACCTAGGTTGATTCCATGTTTCTGCTGTTGTGACTAGTGCTGCAATGAACATACAAATGCATGTGTCTTTCTTTGGGACAATGGTTTGTTTTCTTTTGGATATACACAAAGTAATGGGATTGTTGGGTCAAATGGCAGTTCAGTTTTAAGTTCCTTGATAAATCTCCAAACTGCTTTCCACAGTGGATGAACTGATTTACATTTCCACCAAAAGAGTATAAGCATTACCTTTTCTCTGCAGTCTCACCAACATCTGTTGTTTCTTCATTTTTTAAATAATAATCATCCTGACTGGTGTGAAATGATATCTAATTGTGATTTTGATTTGCATTTCTCTGATGATTAATGATACAGAGCATTTTGTCATATGTTTATTGGCCAATTGTATGTCATTATTATTTATTATTATTATTATTATTATTATTGGTTCATCAATTGTTTAAGCATCTTATGGATTCTGGATATTACCCCTTTGCCTTAAGCATAGTTTGTGAATATTTTTTCCATTCTGTAGGTTGTCTGTTTATTCTTTTGATAGTTTCTTTTGCTGTACAAAATCTCTTTAGCTTAATCAGGTCTCACTTGTCAATTTTGTTTTTGTTGCAATTGCATTTGAGGATTTAGTCATAAATTCTCTCCCAAGGCTGATGTCCAGAATGGTGTTTCCTAAGTTTTCTTCTAGGATTCTTATAGTTTGAGGTCACACATTTTAATCTTTAAACCATCTTGAGTTAGTTTTTGTATATGGTTAAAGTTAATGATCTGGTTTCATTGTTCTGCATGTGGCTATCTAGCACCATTTATTGAATAATGGGTCCTTTCATGATTACCTATATTGATCGACTTTGTCAAAGATCACATGAGTGGAAATGGTTGGCTTTATTTCTAGGTTCTGTATTCTGTTCCATTGGTCTATATGACTGTTTTTGTACCAGTACCATACTGGTTTGGTTACTATAGCCTTATAGTAGAGTTTGAAGTCAGGTAATATGATGCCTCCAGCTTTGTTCCTTTTGCTTAGGATTGCTTTGGCTATTCAGGCTATTTATTGGTTCCATATGAATTTTAAAATACTTTTTCTAGTTCTGTGAAGAATTTTAATGGTATTTTTGTAGGAATAACATTAATTCCGTACATTGCTTTGGGCAGTATGGCTAGTTCAATGATATTGATTCTTCCAATCCATGAGTATAGAATATTTTTCCATTTGTTTGTGTAATCTATGATTTCTTTTAGCAGTGTTTCTTAGTTCTCCTTGTAGAGATGTTTTACTTCCTTGGTAACATGTATTTTTATGTATTTTACTTTTTTGTAGGACTGTAAATGGGATTGCATTCTGGATTTGGTTCTCAGCATGTACATTATGGGTGTATGCAAATGTTACTGATTTTTATGCCTAGATTTTGTTTCCTGAAACTTTGATGAAGTTATTTATAAGTTCTAGGTGCTTTTGGGCAGAGACTACGGGCTTTTCTAGGTATGGAATTACATTGTTCATGAAAAACAGTATTTTTATTCTTCTTTTCCTATTCAGATACATTTTATTTCTTTCTCTTGCCTGACTGCTCTGGTAGGACTTCCGGTACTATGCTAAATAGGAGTATTGAGAGTGGGAACCCTTGTCTTGTTCCAGTTGTCAAAGTAAGGCTTCCAATTTTTGCCGATTCAGTACAATGTTGGCTGTGGGTTTGTCATAAGTGATGCTTATTATTTTGAGGTATGTTCCTTTCATTCCTAGTTTGTTGAGGGTTTTTCCCATGAATGGATGTTGGATTTTATCAAAAGCTTTTTCCAAGCCTATTGAGATGATCATATAGTCTTTGTTTTTAATTCTGTTTATATGATGAATCCCATTTATTGATTTGTGTATTTTGAAACAATTTCCTTGTATCACTGCAATAAAGCCTACTTGAACATGGTGAATTAACTTTTTGATGTGCTCCTGGATATGGTTTGCTAATATTTTGTTGAGGATTTTTGTGTCTATGTTCATCAGGAATAGTGGCCTAGTTTTTTTCCCCCTTTTATGTTTTTGCCAGGTATTGGTATTAGAGTAATGCTGGCTTTATAGAATAAGTCAAGAAGGAGTCCCTCCTCCTTGATTTTTATGTATAGCTTAGGTAGACTTGGTCCCATCTCTCCTTTGTATGTCTGGCAGAATTCAACTCTGAAATCACCTGGTCTGGAGTTTTTCATTGTTGTTGTTGTTGTTTGGTTGGTTGGTATGTTTTTTATTTTTATTTTTACTGATTCAATTTTGGAACTCGATATTAGTCTGTTCAGGATGTCAATTTCTTCCTGATTCAATATTGGGAAACTTTGTTACCAGGAATTTATCAATTTCCTTTACATGTTCTAGTTTAGATACATAGAGGTGCCCATCATAGTTTCTAAGAATTTTCAGTATTTCTCTGGGATCAGTGGTAATATCACCTTTGTGATTTCTGATTGTGCTTATTTGGCTCTTTTCTTTCTCTGTCAATCTAGCTAGTAGTCTATTCATCTTGTTTATTCTTTCAAAAAACCAATTTTTGGTTTTGTTGACCCTTTGTATGGATTTTTGGGACTCAATTTTGTTCAGTTCTGCTCTGATTTTAGTTATTTCTTTGTTTCTACCTGCTTTGGGGTTAATTTGTTATTGTTTTTGTAGTTCTTCTAAGTTTTATGTTAGATTGGTAATTTGAGAAGCCTTTCTGAGGTAGGCATTTATCGCTATACACTTTTCTCTTAACACTGCTTTTGTTGTATCCCACAGATTTTGGAATGTTGTGTCTCCGTTTTCATTAATTTCAAAGAATGTTCTAATTTCTACCTTAAATTTGTTGTTTTCCCAAAAGTCATTCAGGAGCAAGTTTTTAAAATTTCCATGTAATTCTGTAGTTTCCAAGATCCCCTTGATATTGATTTCTATTTTTATTCTACTGTGGTCTTAGAGTATGGTTGGTTTCATTTTGTTTTTTTTTTTTTTTTTTTCAATTAAATTGAGACCTACTTTGTTGCTGAGCATGTGGTTGATTTTGGAGTATGTTCAGTGTGTGAATGACATGAATATATATTTTGTGGTTGATGGGTGGATTATTCTGCAGATATCTATTAGGTCCAAGTGGCCAAGTGTTGAATTTAACTAAAGAATTTATTTGTTAATTTTCTTCCTCAATGATCTCCCTAATGCTGTTAATGGGGGTGTTAAAGTCCCTCACTATTATTGTGTGGCTACCTAAGTCTTTGGTAGGTCTGGAAGTACTTGGTTTATAAAACTGTGTGCTCCAAAGTTGGGTAGAGATATATTAAAATAGATAAAACTTCTTAGAGAATTGAACCTGTTACCATTATTTAATGCCCTTCTTTGTTCTTTTTTACTGTTGTTGGTTTAAAGCCTGTTTTATCTCATATAAGAATAACACTCCTGTGCTTATTTGTTTTCTGTTTGGCTGGTAAATCCTTCTCCAACCTTTTACTTTGAGCCTATGGTTGTTGGTAAATGAGATGGGTCTCCTGAAGACAGCAGATAATTGGGTCACTTTTTAATGCAGTTTGCCACTCTGCGCCATTTACATGGGACATTTAGACTGTTTACATTCAAGGTTAATATTCATATGTGATGCTTTGATTTTATCATAAAGTGGTTAGCTAGTTCCTTTGTAGTTTCTATTGTATAGTTGCTTTATAGAATCTGTGAGCTATGTACTTAAATATGGTTTTGTCATAGCAGGTATTGCTCTTTTATTTCCATGTTTAGAACTCCCTTAAGAATCTCCTGTATGGCTGGTTTAGTGTAATAAATTATTTTAGCAGTAGCTTGTCTGGAAAATATTTTATTTCTCCTTCACTTATGAAGCTTAGTTTGGCAGGTTATAAAAATTCCTGGTTTATTTTTTTCTAATAATACTAAAAGTAGGCCCCCAAATGTCTTCTGGCTTGTAAGGTTTCTGCTGAGAAGTTCACTGTTAGCCTGATGATGTTCCCTTTGTATGTGATCTGACCTTTTTCTCTAGCTGCCTTTAAGATTTTTCTTTTCTTTAGCATTGATCTTGGACAGTCTGGTGACTATATAGCTTGGTGATGTTCATTTTGTGTAGTATCTTGCAGGCGTTCTCCACCAGACGTTTTGTATCTGGATATCTATCTCTCTAGCAAGATTAAGAAATTTTTCTTAAATTATTTCCTCAAACATGTTTTCCAGGTTGTTTACTTTTTCTCTATCACTCTCAGGAGAGCCAATAATTTGTATCTTTGGTCATTTTACATAATCACATGTTTCTCAAAAGCTTTGTTCATTTTTAAAATTTCTTTTTTCAAGAATGAGATTATGCCCTTTGCAGGAACATGGATGGAGCCCGGGTAATTATTCTTAACAAACAAATGCAGAAACATGAAACCAAATACCACATGTTCTCACTTATAAGTGAAAGCTACATGATGAGAATGCATGGACACATAGAGGAAAACAACACACACTGTGGCCTATCAAAGGGTGGAATCAGGAAAAAATCTAATGAGTACTAAACTTAATATCTGGATGATGAAATAATCTGTACAACAAACACATATGACACAAATTTACCTATATAACAAACCCACACAACATGTACCCCTGAACTTAAAATAAAAGTTAAATTTAAATGATAAAAGGAAAGCCTTTTTTTCTTTATTTCCATCTGACTTGTTTAGTCCAGAAGACTGTTCTTCAAACTGTATTATTCTTTCTTCTGCTTCATTCAGGCAAATGATAAAGCTTTCCAATGTATTTTTGAAATTTCCTAAATGAGTGCTTCAATTCCAGAAGCACTGGTTTACTTCTTTTAAAGATATTGATCTCTGCTTTATTTCCTGTATTGCTTTAGAAGTTTTTTTGTGTGTTGATTTTCAACTATGTCTAGAATCTCTTTGAGTTTCCTTGCCATCTGTATTAGCACATTTTTGCACTGCCATAAAGAAATACCCGAGATTGGGTAATTTATAAAGAAAAGAGGTTTAACTAGCCCATAATTCTGCAGGCTGTACATAAAGGATGGCTAGGGAGGCCTCAGAAACATAAAATCATTGCAGAAGGTAAGGGAAAAGCAGGCACATCTTCACATGGCCAGCCAGGAGAAACAGAAGGGAGCAAGGTACTACACATATTTAAAACAACCAAATATTATGAGAACTCACTCACTGTTAGGAGAACAGCACTCAGGGTGATAGTGTTAAACCATTAGAAACCAACGCCATTGTATTAGTCCATTTTCACATTGCTATAAAGAGATACAAAAGACTGGGTGTATTAGTCCATTCTGATGCTGCTAATAAAGACATACCTGAAACTCAGTAATATATATAAAAAAGAGATCTAATTGACTCACAGTTCAGCATGGCTGGAGAGCCCTCAGGAAACTTAAAATCATAAGGAAAGGGGAAACAAACACATCCTTTTTCACATGGCGGCAGCAAAAGAATTGCTAAGCAAAAGGGGAAAAAGCCTTTTATAAAACCATCAGATCTCGTGAGAACTCACTCACTATCATGAGAACAGCATGAGGGTGGCCACCCCAATGATTAAATTATGTCCCACCGGGTCCCCTTTATGACATGTGGGGATTATCAGGACTACAATTTAGGATGAAACTGGGTTGGGGACACAAAGCTTAACCGTATAATTCTGCTCCTTGCCCCTCTCAATCTCATGTCTTCAATTTCAAAACCAATCATGCCTTCCCAATAGTCCCCCAAAGTCTTAACTCATTTCAGCATTAACTCAAAAATCTAAATCCAAAGTCTCATCTGAGACAAGACAAGACCCTTTCATCTAGGAGCCTGTAAAATCAAAAGCAAGTTAGTTACTTCCAAGACACAATGGAGGTACAGGCATTGAATAAATGCTCCTATTTCAAAAGAAAGAAATTTGCCAGAACAAAGGAGCTACAGTCCCCATGCAAGTCGGAAATCCAGTGAGGCAGTCATTAAATCTTAAAGCTCTGAAATCATCTCCTTTGACTCCATGTCTCACACCTAGGGCACGCCGATGCAAGAAGTGAAGTGCCACAGTCTTAAGGAGCTCCACCCCTGTGGCTTTGCAGGGTACAGCTCCCATCCCAGCTGCTTTAACAGCCTGTCATTATCTGTGGCTTTTACACGTGCATGGTGAAAGCTGTCAGTGAATCTACCATTCTGAGGTATGGAGGACAGTGGCCCTCTTCTCACAGCTCCACTAGGCAGTGCCCCAGTGGAGACTCTGTGTGGGGGCTCCAAACTTTTCTTCCATATTGCCCTAGCAGAGGTTCTTCATGAGGGCTCCACTCCTGCAGCAAACTTCTGTACAGACATTCAGGCATTCCTTTGCATCCTCTGAAATCTATGCAGAGTTCCCCAAACATCAATTCTTGATTTCTGTGCAACCACAGGACCAACATCACATGTAAGCTGCCAAGGCTTGGGGCTTGAACCCTCTGAAGCAAAGGCCTGAGCTGTACATTGGCCGTTATAGACATGGCTGGAGCCGAAGCAACTGGTACACAGGGCACCAGGTCATGAGGTTACATAGAGAAGGGGCGCCCTGGGCCCAGTCTACAAAATGATTTTTTTCCTCCTAGACCTCTAGGCCTGTGATTGGAGAGGCTGCTCTGAAGGTCTCTGACATACCCTAGAGATATTTTCCTCATTGTCTTGGTGATTAACATTCAGCTTCTTGTTAATTATGCATATTTCTGCAACAGACTTGAATTTATTTCAAAAAAGTGGGTTTTTTCTTGTCTATTGTATCATCAGGTTGCAAATTTTTCAAACTTTTATGCTCTGCTTCCACTTGAATGCTTTGCTGCTTAGATATTTCTTCCACCAGATACCCTAAATCATCTTCCTCAAGTTCAAAGTTCCACAGATCTCTAGGGCAGGGGAAAAATGCTGCCAGTCTCTCTGCTAAAAGATAACAAGAGTCACCTTTGCTCCAGTTTCCAACAAGTTTCTCATCTCCATCTGCGACTACCTCAGCCTGGACTTTATTGTCCATATCACTATCAGCATTTTGGTTAAAGCTATTCAACAAGTCTCTAATAAGTTCCAAACTTTCCCACATCTTCCTGTCTTCTGAGCCCTCTAATTCTCCAGGAAGTTCCAAACTTTCCCACCTTTTCCTCTCTTCTTGTGAGCCCTTCAAACAGTTCCAACCTTTGCCTGTTACCCAGTTCCAAAGTCACTTCCACATTTTGGGTGTCCTTATAGCAGCGCCCCACTGTCTGTGGTAACAATTTACTGTATTAGTCCATTCTGATTCTGCTAATAAAACGCATACCCGAGAATGGTTAATTTATAAAGAAAAGAGGTGTAATGGACTCAAGTTCAGCATAGCTTGGGAGGCCTCAGGAAACTTATAATCATGGAGGAAGGGAAAACAAACACGTCCTTCTTCACTTGGCAGCAGCAAAAACAAGTGCCAAGCAAAGGGAGAAAGCCCCTTATAAAACCATCAGCTTTCATGAAAACTCACTCACTGTCATGATAACCACATGAGGGTAACAACCCATGATGATTAAATTACTTCCCACCAGCCCCACCTCATGACATGTGGGTAATATGGGAACTACAATTCAAAATGAGATTTCGGGGGGACACAGCCAAACCATATCACTGGGTAATTTATTTTAGAAAAGGTTTAATTGCTTCACAGTTCTGAATGGCTGGGAAGGCCTCAGGAAACTTACAACCATGGCAGAAGGAGAAGAGGTATGTATTGCATGGCAAAAGGTGAGAGAGAGTATGTGTGAATAGATGGAACTGTCAACTCTTATAAAACCATCAGATCTTGTGAGAACTCACTCACTATCATGAGAACAACATGAGGGAAATTACCTCTATGATCCAATCACCTTCCACCATGCCTCACCAACAACAGTGAGGATTACAGTTGAAAATGAGATTCAGGTAGAGACACACATCCAAACCATATCATTCCACCCTGGGCCCCTCCAAAATCTCATGTTCTTCTCACATTGAAAAATACAATCATGAGTTAAATAGAAGATGGCTGAGTGGAATCAGCTCTGGTATACAGCTCCCAGCGTGAGCGACGCAGAGGACGAATGATTTCTGCATTTCCATCTGAGGTACCCGGTTCATCTCACTGGGGAGTGCCAGACAGTGGGCGCAGGTCAGTGGGTGCAGACACCATGCTCGAGCCGAAGCAGGGTGAGGCATTGCCTCACTCGGGAAGCCCAAGGGGTCAGGGAGTTCCCTTTCCTAGTCAAAGAAAGGGGTGACAGATGGCACCTGGAAAATCGGATCACTCCCACCCGAATACTGCGCTTTTCCGACGAGCTTAAAGAACAGCGCACCAGGAGATTGTGTCCCCCACCTGGCTTGGAGGGTCCTGCGCCCACGGAGTCTCGCTGATTGCTAGCACAGCAGTCTGAGATCAGGCTGCAAGGCCGCAGCGAGGCTGGGGGAGGGGCGCCCGCCATTGCCCAGGCTTGCTTAGGTAAACAAAGCAGCACAGACGCTTGAACAGGGTGGAGCCCACCACAGCTCAAGGAGGCCTGCCTGCCTCTGTAGGCTCCGGCTGTGGGGCAGGGCACAGACAAACAAAAAGACAGCAGTAACCTCTGCAGACTTAAATGTCCCTGTCTGACAGCTTTGAAGAGAGCAGTGGTTCTCCCAGCACGCAGCTGGAGATCTGAGAATGGGCAGACAGCCTCCTCAAGTGGGTCCCTGACCCCTGACACCTGAGCAGCCTAACTGGGAGGCACCCCCCAGAAGGGGCAGACTGACAACTCACACGGCACAGTACTCCAACAGACCTGCAACTGAGGGTCCTGTCTGTTAGAAGGAAAACTAACAAACAGAAAGGACATCCACACCAAAAAACCATCAGTGCATCACCATCATCAAAAACCAAAAGTAGATAAAACCACAAAGATAGGGAAAGTCTAAAAAACAGAGCGCCTCTCCCCCTCCAAAGGAACGCAGTTCCTCACCAGCAACGGAACAAAGCTGGACGGAGAATAACTTTGACGAGCTGAGAGAAGAAGGCTTCAGACGATCAAATTACTCCGAGCTACAGGAGGAAATTCAAACCAAAGGCAAAGAAGTTGAAAACTTTGAAAAAAGTTTAGAAGAATGTATAACTAGAATAACCAAAACAGAGGAGTGCTTAAAGGAGCTGATGGAGCTGAAAACCAAGGCTCTAGCACTACGTGAAGAATGCAGAAGCCGCAGGAGCCAATGCAATCAACTGGAAGAAAGGGTATCAGTGATGGAAGATGAAGTGAATGAAATGAAGCGAGAAGGGAAGTTTAGAGAAAAAAGAATAAAAAGAAACGAGCAAAGCCTCCAAGAAATATGGGACTATGTGAAAAGACCAAATCTACGTCTGATTGGTGTATCTGAAAGTGACGGGGAGAATGGAACCAAGTTGGAAAACACTCTGCAGGATATTATCCAGGAGAACTTCCCCAATCTAGGAAGGCAGGCCAACATTCAGATTCAGGAAATACAGAGAACACCACAAAGATACTCCTTGAGAAGAGCAACTCCAAGACACATAATTGTCAGATTTACCAAAGTTGAAATGAAGGAAAAAATGTTAAGGGCAGGCAGAGAGAAAGGTTGGGTTACGCACAAAGGGAAGCCCATGAGACTAACAGTGGATCTCTCGGCAGAAACTCTAAAAGCCAGAAGAGAGTGGGGGCCAATATTCAACATCCTTAAAGAAAAGAATTTTCAACCCAGAATTTCATATCCAGCCAAACTAAGCTTCATAAGTGAAGGAGAAATAAAATACTTTACAGACAAGCAAATGCTGAGAGATTTTGTCACCACCAGGCCTGCCCTAAAAGAGCTCCTGAAGGAAGTGCTAACCGTGGAAAGGAACAACCAATACCAGCCGCTGCAAAATCATGCCAAAATGTAAAGACCATCGAGACTAGGAATAAACTGCATCAACTAATTAGCAAAATAACCAGCTAACATCATAATGACAGCATCAAATTCGCACATAACAATATTAACTTTAAATGTAAATGGAGTAAATGCTCCAATTAAAAGACACAGACTGGCAAATTAGATAAAGAGTCAAGACCCATCAGTATGCTGTATTCAGGAAACCCATCTCACGTGCAGAGACACATATAGGCTCAAAATAAAAGGATAGAGGAAGATCTACCAAGCAAATGGAAAACAAAAAAAAGCAGGGGTTGCAATCCTAGTCTCTGATTAAACAGACTTTAAACCAACAAAGATCAAAAGAGACAAAGAAGGCCATTACATAATGGTAAAGGGATCAATTCAATAAGAAGAGCTAACTATCCTAAATATATATGCACCCAATACAGGAGCACCCAGATTCATAAAGCAAGTCCTGAGCGACCTACAAAGAGACTTAGACTCCCACACATTAATAATGGGAGACTTTAACACCCCAATGTCAACATTAGACAGATCAATGAGACAGAAAGTCAACAAGGATACCCAGGAATTGAACTCAGCTTTGCACCAAGAGGACCTAATAGACATCTACAGAACTCTCCACCCCAAATCAAGAGAATATACATTTTTTTCAGCACCACATCACACCTATTCCAAAATTGACCACATAGTTGGAAGTAAAGCTCTCCTCAGCAAATGTAAAAAAACAGAAATCATAACAAACTATCTCTCAGACCACAGTGCAATCAAACTAGAACTCAGGATTAAGAATCTCAGTCAAAACCGCTTAACTACATGAAAACTGAACAACCTGCTCCTGAATGACTACTGGGTACATGTTGCGGGAAGTCGGGGACCCCAAACGGAGGGACCGGCTGAAGCCATGGCAGAACAACGTAGATTGTGAAGATTTTATCGACATTTATTAGTTCCCCAAATTAATACTTTTGTAATTTCTTATGCCTGTCTTCACTGCAATCTCTAAACATAAATTGTAAAGATTACATATACACTTATCACTTCCCAAATCAATACCCTTGTGATTTCCTATGCCTGTCTTTATTTTAATCTCTTAATCCTGTCAGCCGAGAAGGATGTATATCGTCTCAGGACCCTGTAATAATTGCGTTTACTACACAAATTGTACAGCATGTGTGTTTGAGCAATATGAAATGTGGGCACCCTGAAAAAAGAACAGGATAACACCAGTTGTTCAGGGAATAAGAGAGATAACCTTAAACTCTGACCGCCGGTGAGCTGGGCAGAACAGAGCCATATTTCTCTTCTTTCAAAAGCAAATGGGAGAAATATCGCTGAATTCCCTTTCTCAGCATAGAACGTCCCTGAGAAAGAGAATGAGCACCTAGGGGTAGGTCTCTGAACTGGACCCCCCGGGGTGTACCTGTCTCTTATGGTCGAGATTGCAGAGATGAAATAAACTCCAGTCTCCCATAGCGCTCCCAGGCTTATTAGGGGGAGGAAATTCCCACCTAATAAACTTTGGTCAGACCAGTTGTTCTCAAAACCCTGTTTCCTGATAAGATGTTATAAATGACAATGGTGACAAAACTTCATAAGCAATTTTAATTTAACTTCGGTCCTGTGGTCCTGTGATCTCGCCCTGTCTCCACTTGCCTTGTGATATTCTATTACACTGTTAAATACTTGATATCTGTCACCCACACCTATTCATATACTCCCTCCCCTTTTGAAACTCCCTAATAAAAACTTACTGGTTTTGTGGTTTGTGGGGCATCACGGATCCTACCAAAGTGTGATGTCTCCCCCGGACACCCAGCTTTAAAATTTCTCTCTTTTGTACTCTGTCCTTTTATTTCTCAAGCCAGTCGACGCTTAGGAAAACAGAAAAGAACCTACGTGATTATCAGGGCAGGCCCCGCGATAGGTACACGACGAAAGAAAGGCAGAAATAAAGATGTTCCTTGAAACCAAAGAGAACAAAGACACAACATACCAGAATCTCTGGGACACATTCAAAGCAGTGTGTAGAGGGAAATTTGTAGCACTAAATGCCCACAGGAGAAAGCAGGAAAGATCCAAAATTGACACCCTAACATCACAATTAAAAGAACTAGAAAAGCAAGAGCAAACACATTCAAAAGCTAGCAGAAGGCAAGAAATAACTAAAATCAGAGCAGAACTGAAGGAAATAGAGACACAAAAAACCCTTCAAAAAATTAATGAATCCAGGAGCTGGATCTTTGAAAGGATCAACAAAATTGATAGACCGCTAGCAAGACTAATAAAAAAAAAAAGAGGGAAGAATCAAATAGGCACAATAAAAAATGATAAAGAGGATATCACCACCGATCCCACAGAAATACAAACTACCATCAGGGAATACTACAAATACCTCTATGCAAATAAACTAGAAAATCTAGAAGAAATGTATAAATTCCTCGACATACAGACTCTCCCAAGACTAAACCGGGAAGAAGTTGAATCTCTGAATAGACCAATAACAGGATCTGAAATTGTGGCAATAATCAATAGCTTACCAACCAAAAAGAGTCCAGGACCAGATGGATTCACAGCCGAATTCTACCAGAGGTACAAGGAGGAACTGGTACCATTCCTTCTGAAACTATTCCAATCAATAGAAAAAGAGGGAATCCTCCCTAACTCATTTTTTGAGGCCAGCAACATCATGATACCAAAGCCGGACAGAGACACAACAAAAAAAATATAATTTTACACCAATATCCTTGATGAACATTGATGCAAAAATCCTCAATAAAATACTGGCAAACCGAATCCAGCAGCACATCAAAAAGCTTATCCACCATGATCAAGTGGGCTTCATCCCTGGGATGCAAGGCTGGCTCAGTATACGCAAATCAATAAATGTAATCCAGCATATAAACAGAACCAAAGACAAAAACCACATAATTATCTCAATAGATGCAGAAAAGGCCTTTCACAAAATTCAACAACCCTTCATGCTAAAAACTCTCAATAAATTAGGTATTGATGTGACATATCTCAAAATAATAAGAACTATCTATGACAAACCCACAGCCAATATCATACTGAATGGGCAAAAACTGGAAGCATTCCCTTTGAAAACTGGCAGAAGACAGGGATGCCCTCTCTCACCACTCCTATTCAACATAGTGTTGGAAGTTCTGGTCAGACCAATTAGGCAGCAGAAGGAAATAAAGGGTATTCAATTAGGAAAAGAGGAAG
Source organism: Homo sapiens (assembly GCF_000001405.40). NCBI lineage: Eukaryota > Metazoa > Chordata > Mammalia > Primates > Hominidae > Homo > Homo sapiens. Next base: position 76,845,760 of record NC_000023.11, read on the forward strand.
TCAAATTATCCCTGTTTGCAGACGACATGCTTGTATATCTAGAAAACCACATTGTCTCAGCCCAAAATCTCCTTAAGCTGATAAGCAATTTCAGCAAAGTCTCAGGATACAAAATCAGTGTGCAAAAATCACAAGCATACTTATACACCAACAACAGACAAACAGTGAGCCAAATCATGAGTGAACTCCCATTCACAATTGCTTCAAAGAGAATAAAATACCTAGGTATCCAACTTACAAGGGATGTGAAGGACCTCTTCAAGGATAACTACAAACCACTGCTCAGCGAAATAAAAGAGGATACAGACAAATGGAAGAACATTCCATGCTCATGGGTAGGAAGAATCAATATCGTGAAAATGGCCATACTGCCCAAGGTAATTTATAGATTCAATGCCATCCCTATCAAGCTACCAGTGACTTGCTTCACAGAATTGGAAAAAACTACTTTAAAGTTCTTATGGAACCAAAAAAGAGCCCTCATCGCCATGTCAATCTTAAGCCAAAAGAACAAAGCCGGAGGCATCACACTACCTGACTTCAAACTATATTACAAGGCTACAGTAACCAAAACAGCATGGTACTGGTACCAAAACAGAGATATAGATCAATGGAACAGAACAGAGCCCTCAGAAATAATGCCGCATATCTACAACTATCTGATCTTTGACAAACCTGAGAAAAACAAGCAATGGGGAAAGGATTCCCTATTTAATAAATGGTGCTGGGAAAACTGGCTAGCCAGATGTAGAAAGCTCAAACTGGATCCCTTCCTTACACCTTATACAAAAATCAATTCAAGATGGATTAAAGACTTAAACGTTAGACCTAAAACCATAAAAACCCTAGAAGAAAACCTAGGAATTACCATTCAGGACATAGGCATGGGCAAGGACTTCATGTCTAAAACACCAAAAGCAATGACAACAAAAGCCAAAATTGACAAATGGGATCTAATTAAACTAAAGAGCTTCTGGACAGCAAGAGAAACTACCATCAGAGTGAACAGGCAACCTACAAAATGGGAGAAAATTTTCACAACCTACTCATCTGACAAAGGGCTAATATCCAGAATCTACAATGAACTCAAACAAATTTACAAGGAAAAAACAAACAACCCCATCAAAAAGTGGGCGAAGGACATGAACAGACACTTCTCAAAAGAAGACATTTACGCAGCCAAAAAACACATGAAAAAATGCTCACCATCACTGGCCATCAGAGAAATGCAAATCAAAACCACAATGAGATACCATCTCACACCAGTTAGAATGGCAATCATTAAAAAGTCAGGAAACAACAAGTGCTGGAGAGGATGTGGAGAAATAGGAACACTTTTACACTGTTGGTGGGACTCTAAACTAGTTCAACCACTGTGGGAGTCAGTGTGGTGATTCATCAGGGATCTGGAACTAGAAATACCATTTGACCCAGCCATCCCATTACTGGGTATATACCCAAAGGACTATAAATCTAGCTGCTTTAAAGACACATGCACACGTATGTTTATTGCAGCATTATTCACAATAGCAAAGACTTGGAACCAACCCAAATGTCCAACAATGATACACTGGATTAAGAAAATGTGGCACATATACACCATGGAATGTTATGCAGCCATAAAAAAGGATGAGTTCATCTCCTTTGCAGGGACATGGATGAAATTGGAAATCATCATTCTCAGTAAACTATTGCTAGAACAAAAAACCAAACACCACATATTCTCACTCATAGATGGGAATTGAACAATGAGAACACATGGACACAGGAAGGGGAACATCACACTCTGGGGACTGTTGTGGGGTGGGGAGAGGGGGGAGGGATAGCATTGGGAGATATACCTAATGGTAGATGACGAGTTAGTGGGTGCAGCGCACCAGCATGGCACATGTATACATATGTAACTAACCTGCACATTGTGCACATGTACCCTAAAACTTCAAGTATAATAATAATAAAAAAAAGGAAAAAAAAAAGGAAGAAAACAAGGCTACAGTAACCAAAACAGCATGGTACTGGTACCAAAACAGAGATATAGATCAATGGAACAGAACAGAGCCCTCAGAAATAACGCCACATATCTACAACTATCTGATCTTTGACAAACCTGACAAAAACAAGAAATGGGGAATTCCCTATTTAATAAATGGTGCTGGGAAAAATGTCTAGCCATATGTAGAAAGCTGAAACTGGATCCCTTTCTTACACCTTATGCAAAAATCAATTCAAGATGGATTAAAGACTTAAATGTTAGACCTAGAACCATAAAAACTCTGAAGAAAACCTAGGCATTACCATTCAGGTCATAGGCACGGGCAAGGACTTCATGTCTAAAACACCAAAAGCAATGGCAACAAAAGCCAAACTTGACAAATGAGATCTAATTAAACTAAAGAGCTTCTGGACAGCAAGAGAAACTACCATCAGAGTGAACAGGCAACCTACAAAATGGGAGAAAATTTTCGCAACCTAATCATCTCACAAAGGGCTAATATCCAGAATCTGCAATGAACTCAAACAAATTTACAAGAAAAAAACAAACAACCCCATCAAAAAGTGGGTGAAGGACATGAACAGATACTTCTCAAAAGAAGACATTTATGCAGCCAAAAAACACATGAAAAAATGCTCACCATCACTGGCCATCAGAGAAATGCAAATCAAAACCACAATGAGATACCATCTCACACCAATTAGAATGGCAATCATTAAAAAGTCAGGAAACAACAGGTGCTGGAGAGGATGTGGAGAAATAGGAACACTTTTACACTGTTGGTGGGACTGTAAACTAGTTCAACCATTGTAGAAGTCAGTGTGGCGATTCCTCAGGGATCTGGAACTAGAAATACCATTTGACCCAGCCATCCCATTACTGGGTATATACCCAAAGGACTATAAATCATGCTGCTATAAAGACACATGCACACTTATGTTTATTGTGGCATTATTCACAATAGCAAAGACTTGGAACTAACCCAAATGTCCAACAATGATAGACTGGATTAAGAAAATGTGGCACATATACAACATGGAATACTATGCAGCTATAAAAAATGATGAGTTCACGGCCTTTGTAGGGACATGGATGAAATTGGAAATCATCATTCTCAGTAAACTATCACAAGAACAAAAAGCCAAAGACTGCATATTCTCACTCATAGGTGGGAATTGAACAATGAGAACACATGGACACAGGATGGGGAACATCACTCTCTGGGGACTGTTGTGGGGTGGGGGAAGGGTGAAGGGATAGCATTGGGAGATATACCTAATGCTAGATGACGAGTTAGTGGGTGCAGCGCACCAGCATGGCACATGTATACATATGTAACTAACCTGCACATTGTGCACATATCCCCTAAAACTTAAAGTATAATAATAATAAATTAAAAAAAAATTAATAAAAAAAAAAAGAAAAATACAATCATGCCTTCCCCAAAGTCTTAACTCATTCCAGGATTAACTCAAAAGTCCGCAGTTCAAAGTTTCATTTGGGGCAAAGAAAGTCTCTTCCACCTATGAACCTTTAAAATCAAACTCATGTTAGTCACTTCACAAGTACATTGAGGATATAGGCATTGGTTGAGTATTCCCATTCCAAAAGAAAGATATTGACCAAAAGGCAGGGGCTACAGGCCCCATGCAAGTCTGAAATCCAGCAGGACAGTCATTAAGTCTTAAAGCTCCAAAATAATCTCCTTTGACTCTATGCTTCACATCCAGGGTACACTGATGCAAGAGGTGGGCTCCCAAGGCCTTGGTAATCTCCACCCCTGAGGCTTTGCAAGGTATAGGCACAACAGCTGCTTTCACAGGTTGGCACTGAGTGCCTACAGCTTTTCCAGGTACATGATGCAAGCTGTCAGTGGATCTACCATTCTGGGGTTTCCAAAATAGTGGCCCCCCTTCTCACAGCTTCACTAGGCACTACCCCAGTGGGGACTCTGTGTGCAGGCTCCAACCCCTCATTTTTCCTTCACATTGCTTTAGTAGAGGTTCTCCATGAGAGTTCCACCTCTGCAGCAGGCCTCTGCCTGGACATCCAGGCTTTTTCATACAACCTCTGAAATCTAGGCAGAGGCTCCCACGCCTCGACTCTTGTGCTGTGTGTACCTGGAAGCTTAACACCATGTGAAAGCTGCCAAGGCTTATGGCTTGCATGCTCTGAAGCAGTAGCCTAAGCTTTATCTAGGGCCATTTTAGCCATGGCTGGATCTGGATTGGCTAGGATGCAGACAGCTATGTCCTGAGGTTGTTCAGAGCAATGCGGAATGGTGCAGAACATTATTCCCTCCTAGGTTTCTGGGCCTGTGATGCAAGGGTTTGCCTCAAAGCCCTCTGAAATGCCTTCAAGGAATTTTTCCCATTCTCTCTAGGAAGTTCCAAATTTCCCTTTGTCTTCCTTTCTTCTTCTGAGCCTTCCACACTCTTCCAAACTCTGCCCATTACCCAGTTCCAAAGCTACTTTCACATTTTCAGGTAACTATAGCAAACTCCACTCTCAGTACCAATTTTCTGTATTAGTCCATTCTCACTCTGCTATAAAAAATACCGGACACTGGGGAATTTATAAAGAAAAGAAGGTTAATTGGCTCATAATTCTGCAGGCTGTATAGAAAGCATGACTGGGGAGGCCTCAGGAAACTTACAATTATGGCAAAAGTTGAAAGAGAAGCAGGCACATCTTCACATGGCCAGAGCAGGAGGAACAGAGAGAGGGGGGTGGTGTTACACACTTTCAAACAACCAGATCTTGTGAAAAATCACTCACTATCATGAGAACAGCCCCCAGGGAGTGGTGTTAAACCATTAGAAACCACCCCCATGATCCAATCACTTCCCTCCAGGTCCAAGTTTCAACAGTGAGGAATGCAATTGAACATAAGATTTGGGTGGGGACACAGATCCAAGCCATATCACAATCCATGCTTTGAATTATTTGTCTGTCATTTCTGAGTTTTCATTTTTATTAGGAGCCATAGCTAGAGAACTAAGCAATCCTTTGGTTGTGTCACTGCATTCAGATTTTTTATGGTGTCACAATTCTTGTGCTGGTTCCTTCTCATCTGGAGACCCTGGCACTTCTAATTTTTGTAATTATTTTCATAAGGGTAGGGTTTTTTCTTTTCTTTCTTTCCCTATAATATTATTGGGTTGTTCCTTACCTTTCCTTTCTCTTCCTCCCTAGGTGGTGTGACTATACAGAATGCTGGGTATGGTCATTTGGTTTGCTTCTATAGCCCTATGAACTTTTTTGGCAGGTTTTGTATTGAGCTGTGCAGAGTGACCTACAAGCCAGTAGATGGCGCTTATAGGTACGAGCCAGCTACAGCCAGTGCGACTGGGTATTTACTTGATCCTAATTTGCTGGGAGTAGCTCTCTGTTGCCTCAGAAAATGGGCTGATGCATGGAATGCATAGCGTTCTGAATTCTCTGCACAACTCATGGGGCAGAGCCATGCTGAGTGGGCCTGGGCCAGGTAGGTCTGCTTACAGATCCTCTGATGGTGGGCACAATTGCCAGCACCGAGGAAGAATCCAGTGGAAGACAACCTAGTGCCCTGAGGTGTGCCTAGGTGTGGAGCTGGGAAACCTCCTCAGCCCCAACTTCTCTGCATGGGGTTGGAGGGTGGCCTAAACTCCTCATCCAAGAGAGTGGGTGCTCTAGATGCCTAAAGAGTTGTGTGGGTGTGGAGCAGAGAGTTCCCCTGCACCAAGATCTCTGCACAATAGGAGTAGGGCAATTTAGTGCTGAAGCAGGCAAGCAAGTACTCTGAACACCTGGAGATCTGCCTGCATGTGGAGTGTAGAGAGCCCCACTGCACCATAATCTATGCTCAGGAAGGGTCTGGTGGCTCAGGTTGCTGAACCAAATGAGTGGTTGCTCTGAATGCCTAGAGATCTTCCTGTACATGGATCTCAGAAGGCCCCCTGCACCAAGAACTCTGTGTAGGAGGGGTGGGGGTGACTCAGGCTGCTGAACCAGGCAAGCAGTTGCTCTGAATGCCTGTAGATCTGCCTGGGAATGTAGCAGAGAGAGCCCCCCTGCACCAGGATCTCTGCACAGAAAAGATGAGACAGCTCAAGCTGATCCAGGAAATCTGGTGGTCTGAATGCCTGGAGATCTGCCTGTGCATGAAGCAGACAGGGCCTCCCTGCACCAACATTTCTGCACAGGAAGGTGGGGTGGGACAGACTGTTGAATCAGATGAGGAAGTGCTCCAAATGCTTGAAGATCTGTCTGAGTATGGAGTGTAGGAAGCCTCACTGTATCGTCATGTATGCCCAGGAAAAGTGGGGTGGTTCAGGCTGCTGAACAAGGTAAATGGGTGCTCTGAATGCCTGGACATCTGCCTCAGCATGAAGTATAGAGGGTCACCCTGCACCACAATCTCAGGGGAGCAGGTTGGGGCACCCAGCAATTGCACATACAGACACGTTCCAGGTTGCCAAGCTGGCCCTGACTGCAAGTCTTGCCACCCAGGAAAAACTGCAGCTGTAGCAGCTCTCCTCCCACCTTAAGATTTTGATGGGGGAGAGCACAATTTCAGCACCCACTGATGAGGCACTGTCACCAGTTCTGGCTATGGAGGTCTCTATCCAACTCCAGAGCAGGCTTACCAATCTCTGGCCTGAGACTAACATGCTTTTGTGGCCATGCTGCCAGGTCACCAGAAAAATGGCTGAGTTTGTATGTGCCTGGATTTTAAAATGGCATCCTTCTCTTGGTCCTAGGTCTGGGAAAATGTCTACAGCTTTTACCAGTGTCTTTCTCTCATACTATCTCCAAGCCTTTCTCCACATCCATTCCAAGGCTTGGGAGAAACAAGGTGTCTTCCCTCAGCCTGGGTTGCTTGGCTCTCCAGTGGAAAAATTAGTCTTAGAGAGAGACTCTCTGCCTCTCTCTTGTACTAGGTTTTCACTCACTTTTATCAGCTTCACACCATCACAGGGGCTGTTTGCTGGCATTCTACTCCTTAGGATCTGGGGAGTCTTTCATGATTCCATGGACTCCTATCTTCCTTCTTGAATTAAAACTCACAGAGTTGATCTTTATGCACTACTTTCCCATGTACAAGTGGCTGTAGCAAGCTAAAAGCCTCTAATCCATCATCTTGGGGGGAAAAACTTGAGATTTTGTTAAATAAGTAGATTTCAGCTCCTTCTGTCACAAAAAGAAAACTATGTGAGATAACAGATAAGTTGTTTCACTATAGCAACCATTTTACTATCTATATGTTTCCCATAACATGTTGTAAACCTCCAATATACATAATAAAATTTATTTTTATGGAAATATCAGAATAGCAAAATAGATAACCCAGCTGGATTATCACTAAGAGTCATAGCAGCAGTCATATTCTAGTATCTGGTTTAATAGAAATGATCTGGTAATTAGTCTACAGGTGTTTGACTATAGACAGAAAGATGTTGATATGCAGGACTTTCACCAGCAAGATTTAAATATGCAGTAGAAACAAAGGATAAAAACTAGGCACAGAAGTCAAGGTGTGAGATCTGGGGATCCCATAATGGTGGACGACTTTCTTCATAAATGAAGTAGCCATGGTCTATGCTGTAAAGGAGATGAAAGAGTATACTTCCCATGAACATGGTAGCCATGGAGTTAGATGATTTGTTTTATACACAACATAACCATTAACAGGACAGAGAAAAAGATGGGAGACATTTTATAATCAATGCAGCCATGACTGACACAGATGCAGAAAAATGAAGCACAGATGCTTATTTCATGAAGAAAAGTAACCAAACTGAAACTTGAAGACTTCTTTTGTGATCAAATTGGCCATGGGCAATGCCAACAAAGAGACGATAGTCTTGTTCATGAGCAAAGTAGACACAGTTGCTGGAGAAGCAAGGTGAGGAGGAAAGTTTTTTCTAGAACAAAGTAGCCATGTAAGAAGTGCAAACAGGTTGATGGAAGATTTACTTTATGAAGCTATGGTTAGCTCAATTTGGGAGATCAAAGATTTATTTTATGAACCAGGAGAAACAGCTACTGTGGACTAGAAAGCAAACATCTTTTGTTAATAAAGCATCACCAGTGGTGCTGACAAAGAGGTGAAAGACTTTTTTCCTAAGCAAGATAGCCATGGCCAATTCAAGGAACAACAGGGAAGATTTTTCATTAAAAAATGTATCCATGGACTGGGTGTGGTGGCTTATGCCTGTAATCCCAGCACTTTGGAAGTCAGAGTCAGGAGGATCATCTAAGGTCAGGAGTTCACGAGCAACCTGGCCAACACGGTGAAACTCCATCTCTACTAAAAATACAAAATTACCTGGGCGTGGTAGCACATGCCTGTAATCCCAACTATTTGGGAGGCTGAGGCAGGAGAATCGCTTGAACCTGGGAGGCAGAGGTTGCAGTGAGCTGAGATAGTGCCCTTGCACTCCAGCCTGGGTGACAGAGCAAGACCCTGTCTCAAAAATACATAAATAAGTAGATAAATAAATAAAAATAAAAATAAAAATGTACCCATGGTTATTGTAGTCATGGGAGGTTGAACAACTATTCATGAACAAAAGCACTTATAGCTTGAGCTCTTTATATATTTTCTTTCTCTTATTGATTCGCATTAATATGTAATATGCAAAAATAATACTAGATGACACTTCTAGCATTTACTGTGCATTTTAGGTATTTTACATACATTAATGTATTTAACCTTGAAAATAACTCCATAAGTTAAATATTATTATTATTTTTATCCCTGTCTTTTTTTTATGAATTAGAGGCAGCTATATTATGAATTAGAGGCAGCTATAACTTGGGAAGACATTGATATTGAAGGCTTCTTTTGTGACCAAAATAAATACAGCTGTAGAAGACATGTAATCGGAAAATTTTTATCTTGACTATTGTATTAGTCTGTTCTCATGCTGCTAATAAAGACATATCCGGCCAGGGGTGGTGGCTCACGCCTGTAATCCCAGCACTTTGGGAGGCTGAGGTGGGCAGATCACCTGAAGTCAGGAGTTCAAAACCAGCCTGGCCAACATGGTGTACTTGTCTCTACTAAAAACACACACACAAAAATCTAGCTGGGGGCGGTGGTGGGCACCTGTAATCCCAGCTACTTGGGAGGCTGCAGCAGGAGAATCACTTGAGCCTGAGAGGTGGAGGTTGTGGTGAGCCGAGATCTTGCCACTGCACTCCAGCCTGGGTGACATAGTGAGAATCCATCGAAAAAAAAAAAAAGGTATATCCGAGACTGGGTAATTTATAAAGGAAAGAGGTTTAATTGACTCACAATTCCACATAGCTGGGAAGGCCTCACAATCATAGTGGAAGGCAAAAGGCACATATTACATGGCAGCACACAAAAGACAATGAAAGCCAAGCAAAAGGGGTTTCCCCTTCCAAAATCATGAGATCTCATGAGTTTTATTCACTACCACAAAAACAGTATGGGGGAAACCACCTCTATGATTCAATTATCTCTGACTGGGTCCCTCCCACAACATGTGGGAATTATGGGAGCTACAATTCAAGATGAGATTTGAATGAGGATACAACCAAAGCATGTTATTTCACCCCTGGTCACTCCAAAATCACATGTCCTCACATTTTAAATCCAATAATGCCTTCCCAATAGTCCTCAAAATCTTAACTCATTTCCGCATTAAATCAAAAGTTCACAGTCCAAAGTCTTATCCAAGACAAGGCAAGTCCCTTCTGACTGTGAGCCTGTAAAATCGAAAGCCAGTTAGTTACTTCCTAGATACAATGGAGGTATAGGCATTGGACAAATATGCCCATTCCAAATGGGAGAAATGACCCAAATGAAGGGGCTACAGGCCCCATGAAAGTCCAAAATCCGCTGGGGCAGTCAAATCTTAAAGCTCCAAAATGATCTCCTTTGACTCCATGTCTCACATCCAGGTCATGCTGATGCAAGAGGTGGGTTCCCATTTTCTTGGGCAGCTCTACCCCTGTGGCTTTGCAGGGTGTAGCCCAACTCTTGGCTGCTTTCAAGGGGTAGCATTGAGTGTCTGCAGTTTTTCCAGGTGCACAGTGCAAGCTGTTGGTTGATATACCATTCTGGGGTCTGGAGGATGGTGGCCCTCTTTTCACAGCTCCACTAGGCAGTGCCACATTGGGGACTGTAGGAGGGGGACACTGACCCTGATTTCCCTTCTGCACTGCCCTAGCAGAGGTTCTCCATAAGAGCCCCACCACTTCAGCAAACTGCTGCCCAGACATACAGACATTTACATACATCCTCTGAAATCTAGGTGGAGGTTCCCAAACCTCAATTCTTGACTTCTGTGCACCCGCAGGCCCAACACCACATGTAAGCCACCAAGTCTTGGGGCTTGCACGTTCTGAAGTAATGGCCTAAGCTGTACATTGACCCATTTTAGCCAGTGCTGGAGCTGAAGCAGCTGGGATGCAGGGCACCACGTCCTGAGGTTGCATAGAGCAATAAGGCCCTGGGCCCAGCCCACAAAACCATTTTTCCCTCCTAGGCCTCCAGGCCTGTGATAGAAAGGGCTGCTGTGAAGGTCTCTGACATACCCTGGAGACATTTTCCCCATTGTCTTGGTGATTAACATTTGGCTCCTCATTACTTATGCAAATTTTTGCAGCCAGCTTGAATTTCTCCCCAGAAAATGGGGTTTTCTTTTCTATCACATTGTTGGACTGCAAATTTTCCAAAATTTTATGCTCTGCTTCCTCTTGAACGCTTTGCTGCTTAGAGATTTCTTCTGCCAGATACCCTAAATTATCTCTGTCAAGTTCAAAGTTCTACAGATCTCTAGGATAGAAGAAAAATGGTGCCGGTCTTTTTGCATAGCAAAAGTGACCTTTACTCCTGTTCCTAACAAGTTCCTCTTCTCCATCTGAGACCACTTCAGCCAGGATTTTATTGTCCATATCACTATTAGCATTTTGGTCAAAGCCATTCAACAAGTCTCTAGGAAGTTTCAAACTTTCCCACACCTTCCTGTCTTCTGAGCCCTCCAGGTCTTAGGAAGTTCCAAACTTTCCCACACTTTTCTATCTTCTTCTGAGCCTTCCAAACTGCTTCAACCTCTACCTGTTACCCAGTTCCAAAGTGACTTCCAGATTTTTGGGTATCTCTACAGCAGTGCCCCACCCCTAGTGCCAATTTACTCCATTACTCTATTCTCACACTGCTAATAAAGACATACCTGAAACTGGGTAGTTTATAAAGGAAAGAGGTTTAATTGACTCACAATTCTGCATGGCTGGGGAGGCCTCACAGTCATGGTGGAAGGTGAAAGTCGAGTCTTACATGGCAGCAGACAGGAGAGAATGAGAGCCAAGCAAAAGGGATTTCTCCTTCTAAAACCATCAGATCTCATGAGACTTATTCACCACCATGAGAACAGTATGGGAAAACCACCCCCATGGTTCAATTATCTCCCACCAGCTCCCTCCCACAACACATGGGAATTATGGGAGCTACAATTCAAGATGAGATTTGGGTGGAGACACAGCCAAACCATATAGACTACAATAAATAAAGATGATGAGAATATGAAAATAGTAAACTTCCTTTATAACCTATATAAGATTACCTCTGTGGTAGAAGCGGAGTTGAAAGCTTTCTTTCTTGGGCAGAGCATAGATAGCTAGATAAAACCTGAATGTAGAAGACATTTTTTATGACAAAAGCAAAAATAGTTGGTAAGGAAAGAATGCAGAGGATATTATTCATGATTAGTGCAGTTCTGGCTGTGGAAAACATCTCATGGTAAGTCTTCTTCATTATGTTTGACAGCTGAAGCAAAATATTACAATAACATTGATATGCTTTTCAATAAATGTAGATTAACTATTTAAGACAATTAAATTATAAATGAGGGAGAGAAAAGTATATAAAAGGAGGTACAATTTTTTATGTTTCACTAGTGTTTGTGAAATATAGACACCAGTAAACTGTGTTAAGTTGGGTATATATAATGTACTAAGAGCCACCACTAAAAAAGTCATTCAAAGGCATACATACAATAACACCAAAGAAAAGTAAAAATGGATTTCTAAAAATATTCATGTAACTCACAGTATGACAGAAAAATAAAATGGAGAAACAAAAAATGGTAAATATAAGCTCTTGCATTTTAATAATTATTTAATGCAAATAGTCTAAATGCATTAGTTAAATAACAGAATGAGAATGATGTCAGCAAAATGGCAAGTAGGCAGCTCTGAACTCCCATCCCTCTACAGAAACAATGAGGAAAAACTCACAAACTAACTGTTAGAACTCTGGATAACAAAAGTTTATATCAACTAAGCAAATGCTGAGTCAAGAAAAAGGCAACTTAAAAATAATAGAAAAACTGTGTCATTTTTACTTGCTTTTTCTCTCACCTCTCAGCAGCTCTCTGCTGCCTTACCAAGATTGGCCACAGTCTTAAAGTTGAGTGCCCATATTCCCAGTGTGGGACCTTGGTCCCTGTTTCCAGAGGGAGCCAAGCAGGCTTTTCTCAAAAATAATTGTTTCTCTATCCTAAACTGCCTAGGGAAATGCACAAGGCAACTGACTCTGTGTCACCTAACTGGGAACGCACTTGGAGCAGAAAAGGGGCAGGCCTGCTCAAAAACGTTGTAAGGCAATTGAAAAACTCAGAAAATCATAGAGCAAAAGATTACAGATGAGGAAAACAATATGTCACCCATAGCTGGGAGTAAAAGCCATGGAGAAAGTTTCTTTGGGAAATGAGGGTGTTAAAGAGCACTCATGGTATACTAAGGAATTTAGAAACCCCACATACTCACCCAGGATAGGAAACATGCTCAGAAAAGACCTCAAAAGACTCTTAAGTTTTCACCACTGGCTTATCTATATGCTCAGGGAAGTAAGGAAGTGAAGGCTTAGGCAAAATTATAAATGTCCTGGCTAAATATAAAAGAAGGGCCTGGAATAAAGTCAACCTGCAAAGACTGGGAAAGGCGGGTTTTTTGTTTGTTTGTTTGTTTGATTTTCTAGACAGAGTCTCACATTGTTACCCAGTCTGGAGTGCAATGGTATGATCTTGGCTCACTGCAACCTCCATCTCCTGGGTTCAAGTGATTCTCCTGCCTCAGCCTCCCTAGTAGCTGGGATTACAGGTGCCCGCCACCACACCCAGCTAATTTTTTGTATTTTTAGTAGAGATGGGGTTTCACCATGTTGGCCAGGCTGGTCTCGAACTCCTGACCTCATGATTCACCCACCTCAGCCTCCCAAAATGCTGGGATTACAGGCATAAGCCACCATGCCTGGCCTTCCCCCCCACCCCCATCCAAGCTACTGAAGTTCAAGGAAAACCCAGCCACAACACAGGTTGAACACAAGCTAAGCTTTCAACAACTGAAAACAACATACCCTAGGGAATAAGAAAAATCTGAAATCAAGAGTTACCAGATTATGACATTTGAATGCCCCATATTCAACACAAAACCACAAAGCATGCAAAGAAACAGGAAAGTATGGCCCATTCAAAGGAAAAAAATTAATTCAAAGAAACTGTTCCTGAGGAAGCCCAAGCATTGAACTTACTAGGAAAAGACTTTAAATTAATTGTCTTCAGTATACTCAAAGGCTAAAGGAAATCAGAGACAAAGAACTAAAGTAAACCAAAAATGTCATATATGAACAAAATGTGAATATGAATTAAAAAACTGAAATTATAAAAGGGAACCAACTTAACATTCTGAAGCTAAATGTACCATGACAGAAATTAAATAATTACTAGAAAGGACCCACAGCAGATTTTAATAAGGAGACAAAAATGATTAAGCTTGAAGATAAGACAATTGAAATTATCCAGTCTGAGGGACAGAAAGGAAAAAAAAATGAAGTAAAGTTAACAGAACCTAAGGAACTTGTGGGAGTCCATCAAGCAGACCAACATACATATTATATCAATAGTGAAAGGAGAAGAGAAAGCAATGCAGAAAGATTATTTGAAGAAATCATAGCAGTCATAGACAAAAACTTCCAAATTTGGTGAAAGATATGAAACAACACATCCAAGACACTCAAAAACACCAAGAAGGAAAAATTCAAATGGAGATCCACAAGACATATTATAGTCGAATTGTCAAAAACCAAAGAAGAATCTTGAAAGCAGCAGGAGAGAAGTAATTCATCACATACAAGGGATACAAAATAAGATTAACAGCTTATTTCTCATCTGAAACTGGAGTCCTCAAAGCAGTTGGATTATATATTTAAAAAGCTGGGGGGGGAATTTAAAGCAGTATTATGGACTGGATTGTGTTCTCCCCAAATTTATATGTTGAAGCCCTAACTGCTGAAGTGACTTTATTTAGAGATATAAGGTCTTTAAGGAAGTAATTATGTTTAAATTTGATAATGAAGGAGCTAATCCAATAGGATTAATGTCCTCATAATAAGAGGAAGAAATACCAGCAATGTGCACGCAGAAAGAAAAGGCCATGTGCGAACACAGCAATAAGATGGCCATTTGTAATCCAAGAAAGAAGGCTTCAGGAGAAAGCACCATTGCTGGCATATTGATCTTGGACTTTCAGCCTTTGAAGCTGTGAAAACAATACATTTCTGTTGTTTGAGGCACAGAAATAAACCATATATAAACAAAATGACAATATGAATAAAAAGACTAAAATTATATAAAGGAACCAAATAGACATTCTGAAGCTAAATGTCTTCATTAGTCTGCTTTGGCTGCCATAGCAAAAACTACCTTAAACATTTTGTTATGGCAGCCCAGACTATTGCAGATTAAGGTACAATGAATTGGGTACTGCTGTAACAAATACTAAAAATGTAGAAATGGCTTTGGAACTGGGTAATGAGAAGAAGATGGAAGAATTTTGAAGCTTGTGTTAGAAAAAGCCTAGATTGTCATGGAGAAATTGTTGGTAGGAATCTGGATATTAAAAATTATTCTGGTGAGGTCACATGTGGAAATGAGAAACATGCTGTTGGACACTGAAGGAAAGGTGTTCTTTACTATAAAGTGGCAGAGAACTTAGCTTCATTGTCTTCTAGTGTTTTGTGGAAGGTAGAATTCATGAAGGATGACCTTAAATATTTAACTGAGGAGATTTATAAGCAAACTGTTGAAGTTATGGTCTGATTTCTCCTTAATAATTATAGTAAAATGCAAGAGGTGAGAAATGAATTGAAGAAGAAATTGTTAAGCAAAAAGGGACAGAAGCTAAAGACTTGAAAAATTATTGGCCAGTTTATATTGCAAGAAGTGAGAGATTATGTTCTGGAAAGAATACCTAGAGGGTGGCTGGACTATCACTGGATAAAGAGATTATGGGGTCATACTACCAGAAACACTGCTAAAGGGAACAGAGGCAGGACAAAATGAAGAAAGGCTGCTAGATTTCTTGAATTCTACAGAATGGAAGAATACAGCTATTCAGGGGCAAGTGTTCATTATCCTTCAAGAAAAGGAAAAATGACTCCAAAGGTGATTCAGAAATCAGTAGGGCTGCCATTTTCTCCACAGGCCCGGAGAGCACAATTCCAAGAGTCAAGGGTGTCTCATCCTGTTTCAGAGGGTGGGGCCACATCCTCAGTTTCAGAGGATCACCTGCCTCAACCCAGGGTTTCAAGGACAAGGCTGCCACCCAGATTCTCAGCCCCAGCACACAAAGCTAAGGGGTCAGGGCAATTGCCTAAGGAAAAGAAAACACTGCCACCCCAGTGGGCCCAGAAGGCAAAGCATCAAGCCAAAGAGGATTTTTCTTGAGACCTAAATAAAATTTGCCTTACTAGGTATTAGACTTGCTTGGAACCAACATTTCTTTCCTTTTTTCTGATCTCTCCCTTTTGCAATTAGAATGTCTATTTTGTATTTGTCCTCCATTGTATTTTGGAAGCATATAACTTGTCTGGTTTCACAGGTCCACAGCTGGAGAGGCATTTTGCCTTAAGATAAATCATACCTTGAATTTCAACTATACCTGATTTAGATGATATGTAGATGAGATTTGGGACTTAGAATTGATGCTGGAATAACTTAAGACTTTGGGGGCTGTTGGGATAGGGTAAACATATTTTACATGTTAAAAGGACATAAATTTGAGGGACACAGAAGGCAGAATGTTATGGAATTAACTGTATCTCCTAAAATTTGTATGTTGAAGTCCTAACACCAATGTGAATGTACTTAGTGATAGGGTCTTTAAGGAAGTAATTAAAGTTAAATGGGTCATGGGGGGCCCTAACCCAACACTACTGCTGTCCTTATAAGAAGAAGAAGAAACACCAGGAGTATGCACATACAGATAAAAGACCATGTGTGGGCACAATGAGAAAATGGCAATCTGCAAGCCAAAGAAAGGCCTTGGGAGAAACCAACCCTGCTGTCACCTTGATCATGGACTTCCAGCTTCCAGAACTATGAGAAAATATATTTCTATTGTTTAAGCCACTCAGTCTGTGGTATTTTTTTATGGCAGCCCTGGCAGACTAACACAGCCAAGAACCTTATATCTGGAAAAATTACTTGCAAACTATATATCTGACAAAGGACTTGTACTTAAACTAGATTTAAAAAATTCACTAGGTTTCCAGAATTTGTCAAATTTGGGCAATGTTTAGTAATTTTTCTATGTTTGCAAGACATCCCTAAATTTTTTACCACCAGGCCTGTATGAATCTGACCTTTATATTTCAGACACTTAGTCTTATTCTGATGCTTAATAATAACTGACTGAACCTCCAGATCTTCATACATCAGGTCTAAGCCATCTACCATGAATTTACACACACTTTTCTGCCCACAGACTGGCTTAAAAAAATTACCCACCTGTAAAAAGGAATTAGTAGGACCTGACCTACCCACAGGAATAAGAAGACATTATTGACAGAGGTGTATTTAAAGTACTAATAGCCTCATTTTACAGACTAGAGTAATGAGGACCTAAGAAATGCAGTGACTCAACTAAGACAGCAGAGCTGAAACTGAAACCTAGAGTTTATTCTTCCTGGTTGGGTGCTATTTCTCTAGACCACATAGTATATATCTCATATCATGTTTCCTCACAAATATCAGAATATCCTGGCACTTAAAAGAGATTTTTGTAAATTCTTATAGCTGATAGAATGTATAGTATATGACATTCAGTAATTCACTTATTCATCATCGCAATAAGCATATAACTTACAATGCTGCAGGCCCTGAAGTGGATAGTGTTGAAATATTTGAGGCATTCACAGAGGTATCACTACCGAATAATTCTTATTAAATAAATCTCTAGGAGCATTATTGGATATAAATGCGTAAATTTTTCTAAGAGACCTATAATTCTTCATTTGAAAGGGTTTTCAGAAGTCACACTATCCATTTCCTACCTCCAAGCAGAGCTGCATCCAACTTTGATGACTGCAATCATGTGTAGTATCACTGATCTAAGATTATATATATAGAGAGTATAGTATCACTGATATATAGTATTGTATCACTGATCTAAGATTATATATATATATATATATATATAGAGAGAGAGAGAGAGAGAGAGAGAGAAAGAGAGAGAGAGAGATTTAATCCACACCATAATTCTAACAGATAGATGTTATTATCTCTACTTTATAGATGAGGAAAATAAGGGGTAGGGAGATTAACTGACATCCATAATTAAAAAGGTAGTGAGTTGCTGAGCCAAGGTTTGAACTCAATTTATTTTGAGAATTTAGACTCTTAATCACTTTACTCTTGTTCCCACATCATTTATGGTTATTAAATAGTATTCCCAGGATGTCTCTACTAACCTAAAATGAAAGGCAGTAAGCAAAAAGTAAGGAAATAAAATTGGAGTCTATTTGGGGACTCTATATTTCCCTTAAACTCAGAGAAACTTATCCCACCATAGGAAGAAAAAGCAAAAGCCACAATTTTTTCATAAAGGAGAGATGGAGAGACTAAACTTGAATTTTTGTTAGATTTCTTCACAAGATAGTACAATATAAAATGTTCTAGGGGAAGTTTCTTGGGATAATTTTGATTTTTTGGTATCTTAAATACAGTCTTAACAAGATATAAAGTGGAAAAAATGTAACATTTCTACTGAGCTTTTGAGCTTTATGCTCCAAAAGTGTTACTCATCCTACCTTCACCCCCCACTGTCACTGCCATCTCCACAATTTAACAATCCAAGAAGTAGAAGAATCTACCTTTTGGGAAAAGTGAGTCTTTGCAATCATTTCAAAACATAAGAACATACTATTTCTCCCACGATGATTTCCCACCTCAATTTCCCATCAATGTGTGTTTCCTAATGCCTAGGCTGTCAGCAGTATTTCTGCTAAGAAAAGTTGCTTCCCAATTCTACCTTGAAGGTAGAATTCAGTCTCAAGTGGATGGTAATGCTGCAAACCTCAATAACTCTGCCAGCAAATGGGACAGAGAGGCTACCTGGCCAATGAATTCTGTGGTAAGGTTTCTGTGGAAGATATCATCTTAAAAGAACACATCGGTCAGATCTGTTTCACATCACATGGGATAAATGAGGGCAAAAAGTGTGAGTACTGGGGAGAGGATGGAAGAGAGTGAACAGTGCATGAACAGAGGGTATACATCTATTTCAAGAAGGGAGTGACAAAAGGAAGACAACATACAATCTAACACTTCTCTCCTGACCCAAATAATATAATGACAGGTTTGCAGAAAAGAATCTGACTTCTTGGATATATTCCACCAGAGAAATCACAAAGAAACTGATCCATCTGTCACAAAATTCTCAGGTGTATATCTTCCCTCTGCCTGCCAATTAAGCATAGAGCACTAGAAAATAAAATACCTGCCATATGTACAAATGCTAACCTATTGCTAAAGGCTTACAGAAGAAGGTTTTGTCCTCCCTTACTCATTCCATAACCAAGAAGTTCGTCCTCTGGTCAAACCCACATCTTTCTTCGATACCAACAAAACCCAATTTCCTTTAGATGGTCTGTCTGCCTGGGCTTAGGTTTGGGGTTCAGAAACACTTAATCACACTGTATTAGTTCCCCTCGACTCATCCTTCTGATGACCTCTTAGATGGGGTGAGCCTCTAGTAAGAGCTTGCTAAGGGTTGGCTCCAGGATGCTTATCCCTGATGACTCCTTAAGTAATTTACTTACATCTTGGAGCCAAAGTTCCCATTAGTCTCTGCCTTATCTGGAATAACTGTCTCTGTTGTTCTTGGCCAAGAAGGTAATTACGGCAAACTCTTTCATGGTTTTGAGCAGGCTCAGCAGGGAAAAAAGCTGAAGGCTCATGGTAAACAGGTGCATAGAAACTGAAGGTAGGGGATTCCAGCTACTGTCTTTATTGCACAAACAGTAAATTTGAAGGCTAGAAGTGAAGGATGAGGTATGGAAAATAGGAAAAACAGATCAATAACTAACTTTTTAAAAAACATTTTCACTAATTGCCTGTCAGAGAGACAGTGCAAGGAACTGCTTTATGTCTTGGAGCTTAATATTTGTGTCAAAAATTTCCACACAGTTCCCAAATGCTTGGAACATTAGAGATAGAGATAGAGATGGAGATAGAGAGAGATAGAGAGATGGAGAGAGATAGAGATAGAGATAGAGATAGCTCAGACAATGCATGTAGCTTTAAAAAAAGATAGTACAAAGATAGAACTGGAAAGATACAACTTTGCAATAGCACAGACTTTTCAGACTAAGGCCCAGTTAGTTTTTTAAGTTCAGAATGAGTTAGCAGGCTGTCAAGAAAATTAGGTTACATTAACAGAAGCATAATATTCAGAATGAGGGAGATGATTGTTCCACTCTAATCTGAGTTGTTAAGACTATACTTGAGATCATTGTTTTTATTTCTGGATACCATACTTTAAACTTCATGACGGACAAAGATAAGTCAAGGTGGAATTCCAGACTATGCTGTCTGAAAACCAAAAAAATAAAATAAAATACAATAAAATAAAAAGATGCACAGTAGCGTACAAAGTCCAGTTAGGAGACCCCAGAGAGAAAAAGTAGCCATGCCAGAACAGCAATGCCAATTAAGTTCTACCTTGCTAGCTATGTCATGGCTCCTTCAAAAACATAAAGCTTTTGAGAGGGTGACTCAAAATGACAACTGACTAAAATGGTCACTTCCCCCAAGTGTCTTGGGAATCTAAAGCTAGAGGACACCTTGGAGACCCGATGATCCATATTCTGTTTCAGAGCGAACTTGGAAACTCTGTTTTCTGCAGTGTTTAGTATACTTGTCCAGAACATGTTAATTTCAAATTGACAACCAAGCAAAGCACACAAACATCACACTTGAGCAACACTAGCTACAATAACTAGGTAGCCTTTCTCATTAGGGCTGAGGTCTTATACAGCATTGCAATGAACTTCATCTGAATACTAGCTTGTATGCCAACTACAGGTCAAACTCCAAGGACTTCTTGCTCTCTGCCTCTTTCCACAACTTTCCTTATTGTGTGCAATTGTCTCAGGTACTCAGAGCAATGTAGGCTGACTTCCAATTAGTCCTCCAAAGTTTTAAGGACTTACATAAATGACTATATGGAAACAATACTCTCTAAGGAATCTTACTACCCTGGAAACAAGATATAGCTACCCAGTCAATTTCTATTCCTCATGTAAATTCCATAACCTTTTAGTTAAAACTATCACATATTCTCAAGATCTACTTTATATTGCACTGATCCTCAGCCAAAGTCAGTCCAACACTCTAGGCATTTTGATGTTGCCATTCTTTGAACAAGTAAAAGTATAAGAAAAGTATAAGAGGAATATATATATATATATATATATATATATATATATATATATATGACTTCCTATCCATACAAGATAGCATAGAATCACATCTTTCTCCCTTTCCCCACTAGGTACATTGAGACTAGCAAGTGAAAACTAAGAAAAGTAGAACTTGTTAGGGAACCACAGGATTGTAGGAATAACACAATGTAAGGTGCCTTACATCACACCACTAAGAGAAAGTAATCCGGCATGGCATTTTCTTACCCCTAACTTAACACCAGAAGGTGGTGCAGATAGGTTAATTTCTCTCCCAGATCACACAGAATCCTGCCTGTAACACCGGGCAACAACAGCACCACAGGAAAAGTGGATTAATCTCTCCACTGATAGCAAGTGGCCAGGGAAAGTTGCTTTCTCTGAAGGGTCTGAAATTCCCAACATCACCAAGTGAACTGAGTGCCTGGGTGCTACTGACAAAAGGATCCAAACACAAGAACCTGAGTAGGAAGCACTCTCCATCCCCACAGTCCAGAAATTGTATTCTCCTATTTAGAAGCACCAGATAGACCTGCCTGGGGAAGCCTCTTCTGCCACTTCAAGCAGCACTGGCTGAGACCAGTGGGAGATCCAGCAGTATAAGGTAAACCAAGCAGATCAGAATAGGACTGAAAATGTTCAGGAAATTAGACTTCCATTAAAACCACAGCTTA
Organism: Homo sapiens; assembly: GCF_000001405.40. NCBI lineage: Eukaryota > Metazoa > Chordata > Mammalia > Primates > Hominidae > Homo > Homo sapiens. The sequence continues at coordinate 76,867,181 of NC_000023.11, forward strand.
CAAAAGTAAGCAAGTAGGTCTTGTGTGCTAAACCTAAACAAGCTAACTACCTGCTAAAATAAAAAAAATATAAACAAGACACAGAATCTGCTAACATAATAGATTAAATGTCCAGCATGCAATAAAAAGCTACCTGTCTTACCAAGAAAAAGGAAAACTACAACTTGGATGAGAAAAGACAATCAACTGATATCAACACCAAAATGAATCAGATGTTGGAATCATCTGATGAAGATTTTGAAGGAATAAGGATTTAATATCATAAAATAGTTTAACAAGCACAATAAATTCTCTTGAGATACAAGAAGACACATAAAACCTAAGCAAATAAATAAAAATCATAATAAAAACCAAATGAAAATCATAGAACTGAAAATAGAAAAACAGAAAATATTTTAAAAACTCACTGGATAGGCTCAGTAATCAAGCATAGGTGTCAGAGGGTAGAATCACTAAACTTGAGAAAATATCAATAGAATTTAACCAACATGAACAAAAGAGAAGAAATAGACTGGGGGGGGGAAATGAATAGAGTCTTGGGGACTCGTGGGACAATAGTAAAAGATCAAACATTTATATCATTAGGTTCCAGAAGAAGAAGAGAAAGAGTAGAGTTTAAGATGTCTCATATTTATTGAAAGACCTAAATGCACAGATTTTAAAAGCTGAGCAAATCCCAAATAGAAAAACCCAAAGTAATGCATGTCAACAAACATTATAATTAAACTTCTGGAAAATCTAACGACAAAGAAAATATCTTGAATGGAAATAAAGAAAATATATCAAGATTTAGTTATTTCTATATTTACACAATCACCATTGGTGGTTTCTCTACCTCGAGATCTGGAAAACATTCAACCCAAAGACAACATCTACCAATAATTTTACCCTTCACTTCATAGTTACCATTTGCCTCACATCAGTGCTATTTCCATAAAATCTAAAAGACTGAGGAGCAGATATGCTAAGGCTTCCTGAGTCCTGAAGTTCTAACTTTAAAAATACCCATTCTGTCACCTGAGCTAGAACTCCTCAGGTTTATTCCCAACATACTTCTATGCTGTGCTTTATGTCCTTGGGCTTGCGTCAAGTCCCAGATTATCTAACTTCTCCCAGGAAATGATAATACCATCATTAATTACTTCTGTTTGCTAAGATCTGTTCTAACTTGTCATTATATATTCTACCAACTCTTATTAATTTTATATTATTTGTCTCAATTACTTCCCTGTTACCAGTCCAAAGAATTCTTCTCAATTTCTTGTATTTGTGGGATATTATCATATTCCCCTCCTTCCTCTCAGACCTTAGTAGGCAGTAAGTCAATCTCCCTATCCCTAGAGCCCCAAGCTGCCTTCATCCATCAAGAAGTCCTAGATTCTATTTGTCTGATTCTGGTTATCATTCAATAACTGTTTTTAAATTTCTCCAATTTGATGACTTCTCTTTAAAGGCCTTCCATATGTTATCAGCTTAAAATAACATTATAAAATGGTATTTCCAAGCCTCATGGTAACCTCAAATATAAGTCACAGAATGGATTTAAGAAAGCAAGTAATTAAATTATTTCACCTGAGAAAATCACCTTCACTAAAAGAAGACAGGAATAAAGGAAAGAAAGAAGACCACAAAACAACCAGAAAACAAATAAAAGAATGGTAGGAGTTAAGTCCTTACGTATCAAAAATAACATTGACTGTAAATGGACTAAGCCCTCAGAAAAAATACATAGATAGGCTGAATAGATAAAATAACAACACCCAATAATCTGTTGACTGTAAGAAACACACTCCACATACAAATACACAGATAGACTGAAAATAAAGGGATGAAAAAAAAATTACATGCCGCTGGAAACCAAAAAAGCAAAAGAAGCTATACCTATACAAACTAAATTTCAAGACAAAAAATGCAGGAAGAGACAAAGAAGCACACTGTATTATGATAAAGGAATAAATTCAGTAAGAGGATATAACAATTATAAATATATATGCACCCAACATTGGAGCACAAAGATATATAAAGCAAATATTATCAGAGCTAAAGACAGAAATAGGCTCCAATAGAGTAATAGCTGGAGAGTTTAACACCCCATTTCAGCACTAAATAGATCTTCTAGACATGAAATTTAAGAAGAAACATTGAATTTAATCTTCACCAGAGACCAAATGAATCTAACAAATATTTACAGAACATTTTATCCAATAGCTACAGAATACACATTCTCTTTCTCAGCACATGAATTATTATCAAGAATAGATCATAGTTAGGTCACAAAACAAGTTATAAAACATTCAAAAGGTATGAAAATAATATCAAGCATCTTCTCTGATCACAGTGGAATAAAGCTAGAAAGCAATAACAAGAGGAATTTTGGAAACTATACAAATAGATAAAAATTAAACAGTATACTTCTGAATAACCAGTGAGTCAAGGAAGAAATTAAGAAAGAAATTGAAACATTTTGTGATACAAATGATAAGGAAAACACAACATACAACCTATGGGACACAGCTAAAGTAGTACTAAGAGGGAAGTTTGTAGACGTAAGTGCCTATGTGAAAAATTTAAATAAACAATCTAACAATGCATCTTAAAGAATTAGAAAAACAAATTCAAAAGCTAGCAGAAGACAAGAAATAACTAAGATCAGAGCAGAACTGAAGGAGATAGAGACAGCAAAGACCCTTCAAAAAATCAATCAATCCAGGAGCTGCTTTTTTGACAAAAAAAAATAATAACAAAATAGACAGATTACTGCTAGAATAATAAAGAAGAAAAGAGAGAAGAATAAATACACACAATAAAAATGATAAAAGGGATATTGCCATTGATCCCACAGAAATACAAACTACCATCAGAGAATACCATAAACACCTCTATGAAAATAAACTAGGAAATCTAAAATAAATGGATAAATTCCTGGACACATAACCCTTGTAAGAAATAACCAGAAAGAAGTCAAATTCCTGAATAGACCAATAAAAAGTTCTGAAAATTTGGGAGGCCGAGGCGGGTGGATCATGAGGTCAGGAGATTGAGACCATCCTGGCTAACAAGGTGAAACCCCGTCTCTACTAAAAATACAAAAAATTAGCCGGGCACGGTGGCGGGCGCCTGTAGTCCCAGCTACTCGGGAGGCTGAGGCAGGAGAATGGCGTGAACCCGGGAAGCGGAGCTTGCAGTGAGCCGAGATTGCGCCACTGCAGTCCGCAGTCTGGCCTGGGCGACAGAGCGAGACTCCGTCTCAAAAAAAAAAAAAAAAAAAAAAAAAAAAAAAAGTTCTGAAATTGAGACAGTAATTATTAGCCTACCAACCAAAAAAAGCCCAGGACCAACGAATTCACAGCTGAATTCTACCAGAGGTATAAAGACGAAATGATGCCATTCCTTTTCAAACTATTCCAAACAACAGAAAAAGAGAGACTCTTCCCTAACTCATTTTATGAGGCCAGCATCTTCCTGATACCAAAACCTGGCAATGACACAACAAAGAAAAAAATTTCAGGCCAATATCCCTAATGAACATTGATGCAAAAATCCTCAATAAAATACTGGCAAACCAAATCCAGCAGCACAACAAAAAGCTTATTCACCACGATCAAGTCGGTTTCATCCCTGGGATGCAAGGCTGGTTCAACATATGCACATCAATAAATGTAATCCATAACATAAACAGAACCAAAGACAAAAACCATACGATTATCTCAATAGATGCAGAAAAGGCCTTTGATATAATTCAACATCCTTCATACTAAAACTCTCAAAAACCTAGGTATTGATGGAATGTATCCCAAAATAATGAGAGCGATTTATGACAAACCCATAGCCAATATCATACTGAATGGGCAAAACTGGAAGCATTTCCTTTAAAACCAGCACAAGAAAAAGATGTCCTTTCTCACCACTCCTATTCAACATAGTTTTGGAAGTTCTGGCCAGGGCAATCAGGCAAAAGAAAGAAACAAAGCATATTTAAACAGGAAGAGAGGAAGTCATATTGTCTCTGTTTGCAAAATACATGATTGTATTCTTAGAAAACCCCATCGCCTAAGCCCAAAAATTCCTTAAGGTGATAAGCAACTTCAGCAAAGTCTCAGGATACAAAATCAATGTGCAAAAATCACAAGCATTCCTGTACACCAATAATAGACAAGCAAAGAGCCAAGTCATGAGTGAACTCCCATTCACAATTGCTACAAAGAGAATAAAAAATCTAGAATACAACTTACAAAGGATGTGAAGGATCTCTTCAAGGAGAACTACAAACCACTGCTCAAGGAAATAAAAGAGGACACAAACAAGTAGAAAAGCATTCCGTGCTCATGGATAGGAAGAATCAATAAAAATGGCCATATTGCCCAAAGTCAATTATAGATTCAATGCTATTCCCTTCAAGCTATAATTGATTTTCTACACAGAATTAGAAAAAACTACTTTAAGTTTCATAGGGAACCAAAAAAAGAGCCTGCATAGCCAAGACAATTCTAAGCAAAAACAAACAAACAAACAAAGCTGGAAGCATCACGCTACCTGACTTCAAACTATACTACAAGGCTACAGTAACCAAAACAGCATGGTACTGGTACCAAAACAGATATACAAACCAATGGAACAGAACAGAGACCTCAGAAGTAACACCACACACCTAACACCATCTGATCTTGGACAAACCAAACAAAAAGAAGCAACGGGGAAAGGATTCCATATTTAATAAAAGGTGCTCGGAAAACTGGCTGGCCAAATGCAGACAACTGAAACTGGACCCCTTCCTTACACCTTATAGAAAAATTAACTCAAGATGAATTAAAGACTTAAATGTAAGACCCAAAACTATAAAAACCCTAGAAGAAAACCTAGGCAATACCATTTAAGACAGGCATGGGTAAAGACTTCATTACTAAAACACCAAAAGCAATTGCATCAAAAGCAAAAATTGACAAATGGGATCTAATAAAACTAAAGAGCTTCTGCAAAGCAAAAGAAACTATCATTAGAGTGAACAGGCATCCTACAGAATGGGAGAAAATTTTTGCTATATACTCATCTGAAAAAGGTCTAATATCCAGAATCTACAAGGAACTTAAACAAATTTACAAGAAAAAAAATCAAACAAGCCCATCAAAGAGTGGGGAAAGGATATGAACAGATGCTTCTCAAAAGAAGACATTTATGTGGCCAACAAGCATATGAAAAAAAATCTCATCATCACTGCTTATTAGAGAAATGCAAATCAAAACCACAATGAGATACCATCTCATGCCAGTTAGAATTGTGACCATTAAGTCAAGAAACAACAGATGCTGGAGAGGCTATGTAAAAAGAGGAACACTTTTGCACTGTTGCTGGGAATGTCAATTAGTTCAACCATTGTGGAAGACAGTGTTGTGATTCCTCAAGGATCTAGAACCAGAAATACCATTTGACCCCGCAATCCCATTAGTGGGTATATACCCAAAGGATTTTAAATCATTCTATTATAAAGACACATGTACATGTATGTTTATTGCAGCACTATTTACAATAGCAAAGACTTGGAACCAACCAAAATGCCCATCAATGGTAGACTGGATAAAGAAATGTGGCACATATATACCATGGAATACTATATAGCCATAAAAAAGAATGAGTCCATGTACTTTGCAGGGACACGTATGAACTTGGAAGCCATCATTCTCAGCACACTATCACAGGAACAGAGATGCAAACATCACATGTTCTCACTCATAAGTGGGAGTTGAACAATGAAAATGCATGGACACAGGGAGGGAAACATCACACACCAGGGCCTGTCAGCAGATGGGAGGGCAAAGAACATTAGGACAAATACCTAATGCATGGAGGGCTTAAAACCTAGATGACGAGATAATAGGTGCACCAAACAACCATGGTACATGTATACCTATGTAACAAACCTGCATGTTCTGCATATGTACCCCAGAACTTAAAATAAAATAAATAAATAAGCAACTTAACAATGCATCTTAAAGAATTAGAAATGCAAGAGCAAACCAAACCAAAATTAGTAGAAGAAATGAAACAAAAATCAAAGCAAAAATAAATGAAATTGAAATGAAGAAAACAAAAAAAACAATGAAACAAAAAGTTGATTTTTGAAACTTTAAATAAAACTGACAAATCATTAGCCAGGCAAATAAAACAAGACAGCTGACCTAAATAAATAGAATTAAAGATGAAAAAGGACACATTACAACTAATACTGCAGCAATTCAAAGGATCATTAGTGGCTACTATGAACAACTATTTGTCAATAAACTAAAAGCTCTAGAAGGAATGCATAAATTCCAAGACAAATACTACCTACCAAGATTGAACGAGGAAGAAATCGAAAGCCTGAAATGATCCATAACAAGTAACAAGATCAAAGCCATAATAAAAAGTCTTCTGGCAAAGACTAGAGACTGACAGTTTTGCTTCTGAATTCTTCCAAACATTGAAAGAAGAACTAATAGCAATCCTACTCAAACTATTCTGAAAAATAAAAAAGGAGAGAATACTTCCAAACTCATTCTACAAGGCCAGTATTAACCTGATTTTAAAAAATCAGACAAAGACACATCAAAAAAAGAAAACTACAGGCTAGTATCTCTGATCAATATTGGTGCAAAAATCCTCAACAAAATACTAGCAAAACAAATTCAACAACACATTAAAAAGATCATTCATCATGACCAAGTAGGATTTATGCCAGGGAGGCAAGAATAGTTCAATATACACAAATCTATCAGTGTGATACATCATAGAAACAGAATGAAGGACAAAACCATATGATTATTTAAATTGATGCTGAAAAACCATTTGATGCAATTTCATATCCCTTCATGAAAAAAACCCTCATAAAATGTGATTGAGGCCGGGCGCGGTGGCTCACGCCTGTAATCCCAACACTTTGGGAGGCCGAGGCGGGTGGATCATGAGGTCAGGAGATCGAGACCATCCTGGCTAACAAGGTGAAACCCCGTCTCTACTAAAAATACAAAAAATTAGCCGGGCGCGGTGGCGGGCGCCTGTAGTCCCAGCTACTCGGGAGGCTGAGGCAGGAGAATGGCGTGAACCCAGGAAGCGGAGCTTGCAGTGAGCCGAGATTGCGCCACTGCAGTCCGCAGTCCGGCCTGGGCGACAGAGTGAGACTCCGTCTCAAAAAAAAAAAAAAAAAAAAAATGTGATTGAAGGAACATACCTCAACATAATAAAAGCCATGTATGACAGTCGCAGTTAGTATCATACTGAATGGGGAAAAACTGAAATCCTTTCCTCTAAGATCTGGAACACGACAAGGATGCCCACTTTTGCTTCTGTTATTCAACATAATACTGGAAGACCTAACTAGAGCAATCAGAAAAAAGAAAGAAAAAAAGGATATCCAAATTGAAAAGGAAGAAGCTGCTGGCCAAGATGGCCAACTAGAAGCAGCTAGCGTGCACTGCTGTCATGAAGAGGAATGGAAGGGGTGAGTTAATAGACACTTTTAACTGAAACATTTAGGTCCACAGAGTGGAACTAATCAAGAAAACAGCCTGACCCATGGAGAATGGAGAAAAGAAAGAAAAACTGATGGCTCACCCAAGAGCAATGTGGAGCCAGGGGAACCTTTCCCACCTAGGGAGGTGGCACTGAAAAATCCGAGGTAACTAGGGACAGGATCAGACCGCCACCATACCACAGCAGTACTATGGAAAAGTAACCAGACTGTTATGTGGGTGCCCGTTCCCATGTCTCCTCACTGGACAGGTCCTCCAGTCTAGGCCTCCAGTCACCCTGTGCCAGAGCTATCAAGCCAGTAGCAGCTCTGCAACTACCTAGACAGAGGTCCGAGGGGCAAGTGAAAGCCTCTCTGCCACTGCCTCTGCAGTGAAACTCCCTTGTTATTCCCAGACTAACAAAGGAGCAAAGGCCCTAAGTGCCTTATCCACACCACCAACAACCTGCAGTAGACACAAGAAGAGGCTAGTACATTTCCCACAGGTCCACCCACCTCTCCTCCACCTGCTTGCCACCACACAGGAAACACCCAGCTTGGGACCCACAGCACAGATCTTCCATCCTGGGCTGATTGTACTGGGAAATTGCTGACCTGCATCTTTCTGGGGTAATGCCTCTGGGAGACAAGCAAAAGACCCATGGCCACAATCACTACTAAGGTCCCTTCTGCTGCCTTGAAGTTGGGAGAAAAAACACATAAACCCTGAGATTGCCTTAGAGTTGCATTGGGCAGACCAGGCATGCCGAGCCATAATCTACAGCCAGCACTAAATGGGGAGAAGAACCCACAATTTCAGAGCATTGAGAGCGAAAACAGCTGCAGATCTTATGCAACATAGAAAAACTATACAACAGAGCAGAAGTCTACCAACTGACAAATATGCCTAGTACCACCTACTGGATCATACCCCAAAGCTTCAACACCAAAAATACCTCATTAATATACCCCCTCTGAAACCAAAGACAAAAAGTCAGCTTCAAATAAACATCTTGCACAAAGCCTCATACCTGTGAAAACATCCAAAAAAAGCAGTCTATTGACTGTACTCAATCTACACTGCAGTTGAAAGAACACTCACATGCAGAGATGAGAAACAACCAACGCAAGAACTGCAGTAACTCAAATGGCCAGAGTGTTGTGTGTCCTCCAAATGATTGCACCAGTTCTCCAACAAGAGCTGTTAACCAAGCTAAGCTTACTGAAATGACAGAAATTAAATTCAGAATATGGATAGGAAGAAAGATCATCAAGATTCAGTAGAATGGCAAAACCTAATTTAAGGAAACCAAGAATCCCAATAAAATGATACAGGAGCTGAAGAATGAAACAGTCAGTATATTAAAAAAAAAAAAAAAACCTGATGGACATGACAGAGCTGAATAATACAATACAAAATCTTTACAATGCTACCATAAATATTAGTAGCATAATAGACCAACTAGAGGAACTAATCTCAGAACTTGAAAACTGGCTCTCTGAAATAAAACAATCAGACAAAAAGAAAAAGAAAGAAACAAACAAAAACTCTGAGAAGTATGAGATTATGTAAATATGTCATATCTATGAATTACTGGCATCTCTGAAAGGGAGGGGAAAATGCAAATAGCTTGGAAAACACATTTTAGAATATTGTCCATGAAAACTTTCCTAACCTTACTAGAGAGGCCAACAGTCAAATTCAGAAAATGCAGAGAATTCCTGCAAGATTCTACAAAAGATCATCCCCAGACACATAATCATCAGATTTTCCAAGGTCAAAATGAAAATATGCTAAAGTCAGCAAGAGAAAAAGAGCAGGTCACCTACAAAGGGAACCCCACCAGGCTAACAGTGAACCACTCTACTGAATGAAACCCTACATGCCAGAGAAGATTGGGGTCCTATATTCAACATTCTTAAAGTCAAAAGTTTTCAACCAAGAATTTCATATGCAGCCAAACTAAGCTTGCTAAGCAAAGGAGAAATAAGATGCTTCTTAGATAAGCAAATATCGAGGAAGTTCATTACCACCATACCTGGCTTACAAGAGATATTGAACAAAGCACTAAATATAGAAAGAAGAGACCACTACCAGATCATACAAAAACACACTTAAATAAAAGCAACCACACAAGTAAGCCAGATAATTACCAGCTAACAACACGATGACAATATCAAATCCACACATATCAATACTAACCTTGTATATAAATGGGCCAAATGCCCCCAAGTAAAAGGCACAGGGTAACAAGTTGCATAAAGAACCAAGACCACTGGTATGCTCTCTTCAAGAGACTCAACTCACATGTAATGAAATCCTAGGCTCAAAATAAAGGGATGAAGGAAAATCTACCAAGCAAATAGAAAACAGAAAAAAGCAAGAGTTGCAATCCTAATTTCAGATAAAACAGATTTTAAACCAACAAAGATCAAAAAAGACAAAAAGAGGCTTACATAATGGTAAAGAGTTCAATTCAGCAAGAAGATCTAACTATTCTAAATACATATGTACTTAACACAGGAGTACTCAGCTACATAAAGCAAGTTCTTAGAGATTTACAAAAAGACATAGAGTCCCACACAAAAATAGTGGGAGACTTCAACACTCCACTGACAGTATTAGACAAATTAGTGAAGCAGATAATTAACAAATATATTCAGGACCTGAACTTAACATTGGATCAAGTGGATCTAATAGACATTTACAGAACTCTCAAACCAAAAAAATAAAAAATACATTCTTCTCATAGCCACATGGCATATGCTCTAAAATCAACCACATAATTGGGAATAAAAAAAATCCTCAGCAAATACAAAAGAACCAAAATCATAATAAATGCACACTCAGAGCACAGCTCAATAAAAAAAGAAGTTGAGACTAAGAAAGTAACTCAAAACCATGAAATTACATGGAAATGAAACGACATGCTTCTGAATGATTTTTGGGTAAATAATAAAATTAAGGCAGAAATCAAAAAGTTCTTTGAAAGTAATGAGTATAAAGACAAAACATACCAGAATCTCTAGGACACAGCTAAGGCAGTGTTACGAGAAAAATTAATAGCACTAAATATCCACATCAAAAACTTAGAAAGATCTCAACTTAAATGACCTACCATCACAACTGAAAGCATTAGAGAAGCAAGAACAAATCAACCCCAAAGCTAGAAGAAGACAAGAAATCACCAAAATTAGAGCTAAACTGAAGGAGATGGAGAATGAAAAAACATTCAAAAAATCAATGAATACGGGAGTTGTTTTTTTGAAAAACTCATAATATAGATGGGCTAGTAGCTAGACTAAGAAAGAAGATAAAACAGAAGATCATTTTCTCTATTAGTCTGTTTTCACGCTGCTATAAAGAGCTGCCTGAGACTGGGTAATTTATGAAGCAAAAAAGGTTTAGTTGACTCAGTTCCACGTGCTGGGGAGGCCTCAAGAAACATAATCATGGTAGAAGGCGAAAGGGAAACAAGGACTTTTCACATGGTGGCAGGATTGAAAGGGACTGCCAAACACATTTAAAGCATCAAATCTTGTGAGAACATACTCACTTTTATGAACACAGCATGGGGGAAACATCCCATCAGGTTTCTCCCTCAACATGTGGGGATTACAATTTGAGATAAAATTTGGGTGGGGACACAGAGCTAAAGCATATCATTTGGCCTCTGGCTCCTCCAAAATCTAATGTTATTTTTACATTTTAAAACCAATCATGCCTTTCCAACAGTCCTCAAAGGCCTAACTCATTCCAGTATTAACTCAAACATCCAAGTGCAAAATCTTCATCTGAGACAAGGCAAGTCCTTTCCACCCATAAGCCTGTAAAATAAAAAACGAGTTAGTTACTTGCAAGACATAATGGGAGCACAAACATTGAGTAAATGCTCCCATTCCAAAAGGGAGAAATTTACCAAAGCAAAGGGGCAACAAGGCCCATGCAAGTCCAAAACCCAGAAGGGCAGACATTATATCTTAGCACTTTATAATAATCTCCTTTGATTCAATTTCTCAGATTCAGGGCATGCTGATGCAAGGGGTGTACACCCAAGGCATTGGGCAGCTCCAGCCCTGTGGATTTGCAAGGTACAGCCCCTGTGGCTGCTTTCATGGGAAGTGTTGAGTCCTGCATATTTTCCAGGGGCATGGTGCAAGCTGTCAGTGACTCTACCATTCTGCGGTCTGGAGGATGGTGGTCCTCTTCTCACTGCTCGATTAGGCAGTGCCCCAGTGGAAGTGGGGATTCTTTGTGGGAGCTCCAACCCCCATATCCCCTCTGCATTGCCCTAGCAAAGTTTCCTCATGAGGGCTCTGATCCTGCAACGGAATTCTGCCTGAACATTCAGGCATTTCCATACATCCTTTAAAATCTAGGCAGAGGATCCCAAGGCTCAATTCTTATCTTCTGCACACTCACAAGCCCAACACCACATGTAAACCAACAAGGCTTGGGGCTTGAACTCTCTGAAGAAACAACCTGAGCTGTACGTTGGCCCCTTTTACCAATGACTGGAGCTGGAGTGGCTGGCATGTAGAGCACCCTGTCCTGAGGCTGTACAGAGCAGTGGCACCCTGGGCCTGGGGCACTAAACCATTTCTTTATCCCAGGTCTCTGAGCCTGTATTGGAGGGGCTGCCATGATCTCTGAAATGATCTGGAGACATTTTCCCCATTGTCTTGGTGATTAACATTCAGCTCCTTGTTACTTATGAAAATTTTTGCAGCTGGCTTAAATTTCTCCCCAGAAAAATGGGTTTTCTTGTCTACCACATGGTCAGGCTTTCCATGTGGTAGCCTGGGAACTACCAAAACTTTATGCCCTGTTTCCTTTTTAAATAAAAGTTCCAATTTCAGATAATCTTTTGTGAATGCACAGCACTGTATGCTTTCAGAATTAGCCAGGTCACCTCTTGAATGCTTTGCAGATTAGAAATTTATTCCACCAGATACCCTAAATTATCTCTCCCAAGTTCAAAGTTCCACAAATCTCTATGGCAAAATGCTGCCAGTCTTTGCTAAAGTATAGAAGAGTTACCTTTGCTCCAATTCCCAATAAGTTTCTCATCTCAATCTGAGATGGCCTCAGCCTGAACTTTATTGTCCATATTACTATTAGCATTTTGATCAAAACCATTCAACAAGTCTCTAGGAAGTACTGATATTTCCCACATCTTCCAGTCTTTTGAGTCATCCAAAATGTTCCAACCTCCACCCATTTCTAAGTTCCAAAGTTACTTTTACATTTTGGGGTATTTTTATAGTAATACCCCACTCCTAGTACCAATTTTCTGTATTAGTCCATTTTCAAACTGCAATAAAGAACTGCCTGAGAAACTGGAGCCAAGATGGCCAAATAGGTAGAGATGCAGTCTGCATTTCCCAGCGTGATCAACATAGAAGAAGGGTGATTTCTGCATTTCCAACTGAGGCAACTGGTTTATCCTATTGGGACTGGTTGGACAGTGGATGCAGACCATGGAGGGTGAGCCAAAGCAGGGCAAAGCATCGCCTCACCTGGGAAGCTCAAGGGATTGGGGAATTTCCCTTTCCTAGCCAAAGAAAGCCGTGACAGACTACACCTGAAAAAACTGGACACTCCTGCCCAAATACTGTGTTATTCCCATGGTCTAGGCAACCAGCAGACAAGGAGGTTCTCCCGCATGCCTGGTTCGGTGGGTACCACGTCCATGGAGCCTTGCACACTGCTAGTGCAGCAGTCTCAGATTGACCTGCAAGGCAGAAGCCTGGCAGGGGGAAAGGGCGTCCGCAATTGCTGAGGCTTGAGTAGGTAAACAAAGCAGCCAGGGAGCTCAAACAAGGTGAAGCCCACCACAGTTCATCAAAGCCTACTGCTTCTACAAACTACACCTCTGGGGGCAGGGCATAGCTGAACAAAAGGCAGCAGAAACTTCTGTAGACTTAAACATCCCTGTGTGACAGCTCTGAAGAGATCAGCAGTTCTCCCAGCATGGGCTTTGAGCTCTGAGAGAAAACAGACTGCCTTCTCAAGTGGGTCCCTGACCCCAGTATAGCCTAACTGGGAGACATCTCCCAGTAGGGGCAAACAGACACTTCACACAGGTGGGTGCACCTCTGAGACAAATCTTCCAGAGGAAGGATCAGGCAGCAATATCTGCTGTTCTGTAATATTTGCTGTTCTGCAGACTCTGCTGGTGGTTCCCAGGCAAACAGAGTCTGAAGTGGACCTCCAGCAAATTTTAACAGACCTGCAGCTGAGGGACCTGACTGTTAGAAGAAAAACTAAGAAACAGAAAGGAATAGCACCAACATCAACAAAAAAGACATCCACACCAAAACCCAATCTGTAGGTCACAAACATTAAAGACCAAAGGTAGATAAAACCACAAAGGTGGGGAGAAACCAGAGCTGAAAAGCTGAAAATTCTAAAAACCAGAGCACATCTTCTCTTCCAAAGGAGCACAGCTCCTCACCAGCAATGGAACAAAGCTGGATGGAGAATGATTTTGACGAGTTGACCGAAGTAGGCTTCAGAAGATCGGTAATAACAAACTTCTCCGAGCTAAAGGGGGATGTCCAAACCCATCACAAGGAAGCTAAAAATCTTGAAAAAAGATTAGACTAATGGCTAACTAGAATAACCAGCACAGAGAAGACCTTAAATGACCCGATGGAGCTGAAAACCATGGCATGAGAGCTACGTAACACATGCACAAGATTCAGCAGCCAATTCAATCAAGTGGAAGAAAGGGTATTAGTGATTGAAGATCAAATGAATGAAATGAAACAAGAAGAGAAGTTTAGAGAAAAAAGAGTAAAAAGAAATGAACAAAGACTCCAAGAAATAGGGAACTATGTGAAAAGACCAAATCTAAGTTTGATTGGTGAACCTGAAAGTGATGGGGAGAATGCAACAAACTTGGAAAACATTCTGCAGAATATTATCCAGGAGAACACCCCCAACCTAGAAAGGCAGGCTAACATTCCAATTCAGGAAATACAGAGAATACCACAAAGATACTCCTCGAGAAGAGCAACTCCAAGACACATAATTGTCAGATTCACCAAAGTTGAAATTAAGGAAAAAATTTTAAGGGCAGCCAGAGAGAAATGTTGGGTTACCCACAAAGGGAAGCCCATGAGACTAACAGCGGATCTCTCGGCAGAAACTCTACAAGCCAGAAGAGAGTGGGAGCCAATATTCAACATTCTTAAATAAAAGAATTTTCAACACAGAATTTCATATCCAGACAAACTAAGCTTCATAACTGAAGGAGAAATAAAATCCTTTAAAGACAAGCAAATGCTGAGAGATTTTGTCACCTCCAGGCCTGCCCTACAAGAGCTCCTGAAGGAAGCACTAAACATGGTAAAAAAAACAACTGGTACCAGCCACAGCAAAAACATGCCAAATTGTAATGACCATCGATGCTGTGAAGAAACTGCATCAACTAACGAGAAAAATAACCAGCTAACATCATAATGACAGGATCAAATTCACACATAACAATATTAACCTTAAATGTAAATGGGCTAAATGCTCCAATTAAAAGACACAAACTCGGGTGGAGCCAAGATGGCCAAATAGGAACAGCTCCGGTCTACAGCTCCCAGTGTGAGCGACACAGAAGACCAGTGATTTCTGCATTTCCATCTGAGGTACCGGGTTCATCTCACTAGGAAGTGCCAGACAGTGGGTGAAGGACAGTGGGTGCAGTGCACTGTGCATGAGCCAAAGCAGGGCAAGACACTGCCTCACTCTGGAAGCGCAAGGGGTCAGGGAGTTCCCTTTCCTAGTCAAAGAAAGGAGTGACAGATGGCACCTGGAAAATCATGTCACTCCCACCTTAATACTGTGCTTTTCCAACAGGCTTAAAAAACGGTACACCAGGAGATTATATCCCGCACCTAGCTTGGAGGGTCCTACGCCCAAGAAGTCTTTCTGATTGCTAGCACAACAGTCTGAGATCAAACTGCAAGGCAGCAGTGAGGCTGGGGGAGGGGCACCTGTGATTGCCCAGGCTTGATTAGGTAAACAAAGCAGCCAGGAAGCTCGAACTGGGTGGAGCCCACCACAGCTCAAGGAGGCCTGCCTGCCTCTGCAGGCTCCATCTCTGGGGGCAGGGCACAGACAACCAAAAAGACAGCAGTAACCTCTGCAGACTTAAATGTCCCTGTCTGACAGCTTTGAAGAGAGTAGTGGTTCTCCCAGCACACAGCTGGAGATCTGAGAAATGGCAGACTGCCTCCTCAAATGGGTCCTCAAACCCCGAGCAGCCTAACTGGGAGGCATCCCCAAGTAGGGGCAGATGGACACCTCACACGGCCGGGTACACTTCTGAGACAAAACTTCCAGAGGAACGATCAGGCAGCAGCATTTGTGGGTCACAATATCCGCTGTTCTACAACCACCGCTGATGATACCCAGGCAAACAGGGTGTGGAGTGGACCTCTAGCAAACTCCAACAGACCTGCAGCTGAGGGTCCTGTCTATTAGAAGGAAAACTAACAAACAGAAAGGACATCCACACCAAAAACCCATCTGTACATCACACCATCAAAGACCAAAAGTAGATAAAACCACAAAGATGGGGAAAAAACAGAGCAGAAAAACTGGAAACTCTAAAAAGCAGAGCGCCTCTCCTCCTCCAAAGGAATGCAGCTCCTCACCAGCAATGGAACAAAGCTGGACAGAGAATCACTTTGATGAGTTGAGAGAAGGCTTCAGACAACCCAACTACTCTGAGCTACAGGAGGAAATTCAAACCAATGGCAAAGAAGTTAAAAACTTTGAAAAAAAAATAGACAAATGGATAACTAGAATGACCAATGCAGAGAAGTCCTTAAAGGAGCTGATGGAGCTGAAAGCCAAGGCTCGAGAACTACGTGAAGAATGCAGAAGCCTCAGGAGCCGATGTGATCAACTGGAAGAAAGGGTATCAGTGATGGAAGATGAAATGAATAAAATGAAGTGAGAAGGGAAGTTCAGAGAAAAAAGAATAAAAGGAAATGAACAAAGCCTCCAGGAAATATGGGACTATGTGAAAAGACCAAATCTACGTCTGATTGGTGTACCTGAAAGTCAAAGGGAGAATGGATCCAAGTTGGAAAACACTCTGCAAGATATTATCCAGGAGAGCTTCCCCAATCTAGCAAGGCAGCCAACATTCAGATTCAGGAAATACAGAGAACACCACAAAGATACTCTTCGAGAAGAGCAACTCCAAGACACATAATTGTCAGATTCACCAAAGTTGAAATGAAGGAAAAAATGTTAAGGGCAGCCAGAGAGAAAGGTCAGGTAACCCACAAAGGGAAGCCCATCAGAGTAACCGCGGATCTCTTGGCAGAAACTCTACAAGCCAGAAGAGAGTGGGGACCAATATTCCACATTCTTAAAGAAAAGAATTTTCAACCCAGAATTTCATATCCAGCCAAACTAAGCTTCATAAGTGAAGGAGAAATAAAATACTTTACAGACAAGCAAATGCTAACAGATTTTGTCACCACCAGGCCTGCCCTAAAAGAGCTCTTGAAGGAAGCACTAAACATGGAAAAGAACAACTGGTACCAGCCAATGGGAAAACATGCCAAAATGTGAACACCATCAAGGCTAGGAAGAAACTGCACCAACTAAAGAGCAAAATAACCACCTAATATCATAATGAGAGGACCAAATTCACACATAACAATATTAACTTTAAATGTAAAAGGGCTAACTGCTCCAACTAAAAGACACAGACTGGCAAATTGGATAAAGAGTCAAGATGCATCAGTGTGCTGTATTCAGGAAACCCATCTCACGTGCAGAGACACACATAGGCTGAAAACAAAGGGATGGAGGAAGATCTACCAACCAAACGGAAAACAAAAAAGGCAGGGGTTGCAATCCTAGTCTCTGATAAAAGAGACTTTAAACCAACAAAGTTCAAAAGAGACAAAGAAGGCCATTACATAATGGTAAAGGGATCAATTCAACAAGAAGAGCTAAATATCCTAAATATATATGCACCCAATATGGGAGCATCCAGATTCATAAAGCAAGTCCCCAGTGACATACAAAGAGACTTAGACACCCACAAAATAATAATGGGAGACTTTAACACCCCACTGTCAACATTAGACAGATCAACGAGACAGAAAGTTAACAAGGATACCCAGGAATTGAACTCAGCTCCGCACCAAGCAGACCTAATAGACATCTACAGAACTCTCCACCTCAAATCAACAGAAAATACATTTTTTTCAGCACCACACCACACCTATTCCAAACTTGACCACACCGTTGGAAGTAAAGCACTCCTCAGCAAATGTAAAAGAACAGAAATTATAGCAAACTGTCTCTCAGAACACAGTGCAATCAAACTAGAACACAGGATTAAGAAACTCACTTAAAACTGCTCAACTACATAGAAACTGAAGAACTTGCTTCTGAATGACTACTGGGTACATAACGAAATGAAGGCAGAAATAAAGATGTTCTTTGAAACCAACGAGAACAAAGACACAACATAACAGAATCTCTGGGACACATTCAAAGCAGTGTGTAGAGGGAAATTTATAGCACTAAATGCCCATAAGAGAAAGGAAGAAAGATCCAAAATTGACACCCTAACATCACAATTAAAAGAACTAGAAAAGCAAGAGCAAACACATTCAAAAGCTAGCAGAAGGCAAGAAATAACTAAAATCAGAGCAGAACTGAAGGAAATAGAGACACAAAAAACCCTTCAAAAAATTAATGAATCCAGGAGCTGGTTTTTCGAAAGGTTCAACAAAATTGACATACCACTAGCAAGACTAATAAAGAAGAAAAGAGAGAAGAATCAAATAGACACAATAAAAAATGATAAAGGGGATATCACCACCAATCGCACAGAAATACAAACTACCATCAGAGAATACTATAAACACCTCTATGCAAATAAAGTAGAAAATCTAGAAGAAATGGATAAATTCCTCGACACATACCCCCTCCCAAGACTAAACCAGGAAGAAATTGAATCTCTGAATAGACCAATAACAGGCTCTGAAATTGTGGCAATAATCAATAGCTTAACAACCAAAAAGAGTCCAGGACCACATGGATTCACAGCCAAATTCTACAAGAGGTACAAGGAGGAATTGGTACCATTCTTTCTGAAACTATTCCAATCAATAGAAAAAGAGAGAATCCTCCCTAACTCATTTTATGAGGCCAGCATCATCCTGATACCAAAGCCTGGCAGAGAAAAACCAAAAAAGAGAATTTTAGACCACTATCCTTGATGAACATTAATGCAAAAATACTCAATAAAATACTGGCAAACCGAATCTAGCAGCACATCAAAAAGCTTATCCACCATGGTCAAGTGGGCTTCATTCCTGGTATGCAAGGCTGGTTCACCATATGCAAATCAATAAATGTAATCCATCATATAAACAGAACCAAAGACAAAAACCACGTGAGTATCTCAATAGATGCAGAAAAGACCTTTGACAAAATTCAAAAACCCTTCATGCTAAAAACTCTCAATAAATTAGGTATTGATGGGACGTATCTCAAAATAATAACAGCTATCTATGACAAACCCACAGCCAATATCACACTGAATGGGCAAAAACTGGAAGCATTCCCTTTGAAAACTGGCACAAAACAGGGATGCCCTCTCTCACCACTCCTATTCAACATAGTGTTGGAAGTTCTGGCGAGGGCAATTAGGCAGGAGAAGGAAATAAAGGGTATTCAATTAGGAAAAGAGGAAGTCAAATTGTCCCTGTTTGCAGACGACATGATTGTATATCTAGAAAACCCCATTGTCTCAGCCCAAAATCTCCTTAAGCTGATAAGCAACTTCAGCAAAGTCTCAGGATACAAAACCAATGTACAAAAATCACAAGCATTCTTATACACCAATAAGAGACAATCAGAGAGCCAAATCATGAGTGAACTCCCATTCACAATTGCTTCAAAGAGAATAAAATACCTAGGAATCCAACTTACAAGGGACATGAAGGACCTCTTCAAGGAGAACTACAAACCACTGCTCAATGAAATAAAAGAGGATACAAGCAAATGGAAGAACATTCCATGCTCATGGTTAGGAAGAATCAATATGGTGAAAATGGCCGTACAGCCCAAGGTAATTTATAGATTCAATGCCATCCCCATCAAGCTACCAATGACTTTCTTCACAGAATTGGAAAAACTACTTTAAAGTTCATATGGAACCAAAAAAGAGCCCTCAACACCGAGTCTATCCTAAGCCACAAGAACAAATCCAGAGGCATCACACTAGCTGACTTCAAACTATGCTACAAGGTTACAGTAACCAAAACAGCATGGTACTGCTACCAAAACAGAGATACAGATCAAAGGAACAGAACAGAGCCCTCAGAAATAATGCCACATATCTACAACTATCTGATCTTTGACAAACCTGACAAAAACAAGAAATGGGGAAAGGATTCCCTATTTAATAAATGGTGCTGGGAAAACTGGCTAGCCAGATGTAGAAAGCTGAAACTGGATCCCTTCCTTACACCTTATACAAAAATTAATTCAAGATGGATTAAAGACTTACATGTTAGACCTAAAACCATAAAAACCCTAGAAGAAAACCTAGGTAATACCATTCAGGACATAGGCATGTGCAAGGACTTCATATCTAAAACACCAAAAGCGATGGCAACAAAAGCCAAAATTGACAAATGGGATCTAATTCAACTAAAGAGCTTCTGCACAGCAAAAGAAACTACCATCAGAGTGAACAGGCAACCTACAAAATGGGAGAAAATTTTCGCAACCTACTCATCTGGCAAAGGGCTAATATCCAGAAACTACAAAGAACTCAAACAAACTTACAAGAAAAAAACAAACAACCCCATCAAAAAGTGGGCAAAGGATACGAACAGACACTTCTCAAAAGAAGACATTTATGCAGCCAAAAAAACACATGAAAAAATGCTCATCGTCACTGGCCATCAGAGAAATGCAAATCAAAACCACAATGAGATACCATGTCACATCAGTTAGAATGGCGATCGTTAAAAACTCAGGAAACAACAGGTGCTGGAGAGGATGTGGAGAAATAGGAACACTTTTACACTGTTGGTGGGACTGCAAACTAGTTCAACCATTGTGGAAGTCAGTGTGGCGATTCCTCAGGGATCTAGAACCAGAAATTCCATTTGACCCAACCATCCCATTACTGAGTATATACCCAAAGGATTATAAATCATGCTGCCATAAAAATACATGCACACGTATGTTTATTGCGGCACTATTCACAATGGCAAAGACTTGGAACCAACCCAAATGTCCAACAACGATAGACTGGATTAAGAAAATGTGGCACATATACACCATGGAATACTATGCAGTCATAGAAAATGATGAGTTCATGTCCTTTGTAGGGACATGGATGAAACTGGAAACCATCATTCTCTGCAAACTATCGCAAGGATAAAAACCAAACACCGCATGTTCCCACTCATCGATGGGAATTGAACAATGAGAACACATGGGCACAGGAAGGGGAACATCACACTCCGGGTCCTGTTTTCGGGTTGGGGGAGGAGTAGGGATAGCATTAGGAGATATACCTAATGCTAAATGACGACTTAATGGGTGCAGCACACCAACATGGCACATGTATACATAGGTAAGAAACCTGCACTGCACATTGTGCACATGTACCCTAAAACTTAAAGTATAATAAAAAAAAAAAAAGACACAGACTGGCAAATTGCATAAAAAGTCGAGACCCATCAGTATGCTGTATTCAGGAAACCCCTCTCACATGCAGAGACACGTGTAGCCTCAAAATAAAGGGATGGAGGAAGATCTACCAAGCAAATGGAAAACAAAAAAAAGCAGGGGTTGCAATCCTACTCTCTAATAAAAGAGACTTTAAAGCAACAAAGATCAAAAGAGACAAAGAAGGCCACTATATAATGGTAAGGGATCAGTTTAACAAGAAGAGCTAACTATCCTAAATATATATATTCATCCAATACAGGAGCACCCAGATTCATTAAGCAGGTCCTTAGAAACCTAGAAAGAGACTTAGACTCCCACACAATAACAATGGGAGAATTTAACACCCCACTGTCAATATTAGACAGATCAATGAGACAGAAGTTTAACAAGGATATCCAGGACTTGAACTCAGCTCTGCACCACGCTGACCTGATAGACATCTACAGAACTCTCCACCCCAAATCAAAGGAATATACATTGTTCTCAGCACCACATCACACGTATTCTAAAATTGACCACATTTTTGGAAATAAAGCACTCCTCAGGAAATGTAAAAGAACAGAAATAATAACAAACTGCCTCTCAGAACACAGTGCAATCAAATTAGAACTAAGGATTAAGAAACTAATTCAAAACCACACAACTACATGAAACTGAACAACCTGCTCCTGAGTGGCTACTGGGTACATAATGAAATTAAGGCAAAAATAAAGATGTTCTTTGAAACCAATGAGAAAAAAGACACAGTGTACCAGAATCTCTGGGACACATTTAAAGCAGTGTTTAGAGAGAAATTTATAGCACTAAATGCTCACAAGAGAAAGCAAGAAAGATCTAAACTTGACACTCTAACATCACAAAAGAACTAGAGAAGCAAGAGCACACACATTCAAAAGCTAGCAGAAGGGAAGAAAAAACTAAGATCACAGCAGAACTGAAGGAGATAGAGACACAAAAAAACTCAAAAAATCAATGAATACTTGAGCTGCTTTTCTTTGAATAGATCAACGAAATTGATAGACCACCAGCAAGACTGATAAAGCAGAAAAGAGATAAGAGTCAAATAGGCACAATGAAAAATGATAATGGGGACATCACCACTGATCCCACAGAAGCACAAACTACCATCAGAGAATACTATAAACATCTCTACACAAATAAACTAGAAAATCTAGAAGACATGGGTAACTTCCTGGACACACACATCCTCCCAAGACTAAACCAGCAAGAAGTTGAATCTCTGAATAGACCAATAATAAGCTGTGAAATTGAGGTAATACTTAATAGCCTACCAAACAAAAAAAGTCCAGGACCAGACATATTCACAGTTGAATGCTACCAGAGGTAAAAAGAGGAGCTGGTACCATTCCTTCTGAAACTATTCCAAACAACATAAAAAGAGAGAATCCTGCCTAACTCATTTTATGAGGCCAGCATCATCCTGATACCAAAGCCTGGCAGAGACACAACAAAAAAAGAGAATTTTAGACCAATATCCCTAATGAACATTGATGTGAAAATCCTCAATAAAATAACTGGAAAACTGAATTCAGCAGCACAACAAAAAGCTTATCCACCATGATCAAGTGTGCTTCAATCCTTGGACGCAAGGCTGGTTCAACCTACACAAATCAATAAACATAATCCATCACAAACCGAACCAACAACAACAAAAAAACACATGATTATCTCAATAGATGCAGAAAAGGCCTTCAACAAAATTCAACATCGCTTCATGCTAAAAACTCTCAATAAACTAGGTATTGATGGAACACATCTCAAATAATAAGAGCTATTTATGACAAACCCACAACCAATATCATACTGAATGGGCAAAAACTGGAAGCATTCCCTTTGAAAACCAGCACAAGACAAGGACGCCCTCTCTCACCACTCCTATGCAACACAGTGCTGGAATTTCTGGGCAGGTTAATGAGGAAAGAGAAAGAAATAAAGGGTATTCAAATGGGAAAAGAGGAATCAAATTGTCCCTGTTTGCAGATGACATGATTGTATATTTAGAAAACCCCATCATCTCAGCCTAAAATCTCCTTAAGCTGGTAAGCAACTTCAGCAGTCTCAGCATACAAAATCTATGTGCAAAACTCACAAGTATTCCTATACACCAATAATAGACAGACAGAGAGCCTAATCATGAGTGAACTCCCATTCACAATTGCTACAAAGAGAATAAAATACCTAGGAATCCAACTTACAATGGATGTGAAGGACCTCTTCAAGGAGAACTACAAAGCATTGCTCAACAAAATAAAAGAGGACAAAAAAAAAATGGAAGAACATTCCATCCTCATGGATAGGAAGAATCAATATCGTGAAAATGGCCATACTGCCCAAAGTAATTTATAGATTCAATGCTATCCTCATCAAGCTAATGATGACTTTCTTCACAGAATTGGAAAGAACTACTTTAAAGTTCATATGGAACCAAAAAGAGCCTGCATAGCCAAGTCAATCCTAAGCCAGAAGAACAAAGCTGGAGGCATCACGCTACCTGACTTTGAACTACACTACAAGGCTACAGTAAGCAAAACAGCATGGTTATGGTACCAAAACAGATATATAGACCAATGGAACAGAAAAGAGCCCTCAGAAATAACACCACACATCTACAACCATCTGATCATTGACAAACCTGACAAAAACAAGCAATGGGGAAAGGATTCCCTATTTGATAAATGGTGCTGGGAAAACTGGCTAGCCATACATAGAAAACTGAAACTGGATCCCTTCCTTACACCTTATAAAAAAATTAACTCAAAATGCATTAAAAATTTAAATGTAAGGCCTAAACTCGTAAAAACCCCAGCAGAAAATCTAGGCAATACCATTCAGTACATGGTCATGGAAAAAACTTCATGACTAAAACACCAAATACAATGGCAACAAAAGCCAAAATTGACAAATGGGATGTAATTAAACTAAAGAGCTTTTACATGGCAAAAGAAACTACCATTAGAGTGAACAGGCAACCTACAAAATGGGAGAAAATTTTTGCAATCTACCCATCTGACAAAGGACTAATATCCAGAATCTACAAAGAACATAACAAATTTACAAAAAAACAAAAAAAACCCTTCAAAAATGGGCAAAAGATATGAACAGACACTTCTCAAAAGAAGATAATTGTGCAGTCAACAGACACATGAAAAAATGCTCATCATCACTGGTCATCAGAGAAATGCAAATCAAAACCACAATGAGATACCATCTCATGCCAGTTAGAATGACGATCATTAAAAAGTTGGGAAAAAACAGATGCTGGAGAGGATGTGGAGAAATAGGAACACTTTTACATTGTTGGTGGGACAGTAAACTAGTTCAACTACTGTGGAAGACAGTGTGGTGATTCCTCAAGGATCTAGAACTAGAAATACCATTTGACCCAGCAATCTCATTACTGGGCATATACCCAAAGGATGATAAATCATGCAACACCTGCACACGCATGGTTATTGTGACACTATTCACAATAGCAAAGACTTGGAACCAACCCAAATGCCCATCAATGATAGACTGGATTAAGAAAATCTGGCACATATACACCATGGAATACTATGCAGCCATAAAAAATGATGAGTCCATGTCCTTTGCAGGGACATGGATAAAGCTGGAAACCATCATTCTCAGCAAACTATCACAAAAACAGAAAACCAAACACTGCATATTCTCACTCTTAGGTGGGTGGGAATTGAACAATGAAAACACTTGAACACAAGGCGGGGAACATCACACACAGGGGCCTGTCAGGGGTGGGGGTTGGGGGAGGCATTGCATCAGGAGAAATACCTGATGTAAATGACGAGTTGATGGGTGCAGTGAACCAACATGGCCCATGTATACCTATGTAACAAACCCGTACGTTGTGCACATGTACCCTAGAACTTAAAGTATAACAATTAAAAGTTTAAAAAATAAAGAAACTGCAGAAAACTAAAGAGGAAGAGAAAATCTGAAAACCTCAATAAAATCAACTTACTGGTAAAAAAAAAAAATCACAAAATAACAGATGCTGGAGAGGATGTGGAGAAATAGGAATACTTTTAAACTGTTGGTGGGAGTGTAAATTAGTTCAACCATTGTGGAAGACAGTGTGGTGTTTCCTCAAGGATGTAGAACTAGAAATACCATTTGACCCAGCAATCTCATTACTGGGTATATACCCAAAGGATTATAAATCATGCTACTATAAAGACACATGCACACATATGTTTTTTGCAGCACTGTTCACAATAGCAAAGACTTGGATCCAACCCAAATGCCCATCAATGATACACTGGATAAAGACAATGTGGCACATATACACCATGGAATAGTATGTAGCCATAAAAAAGGATGAGTTCATCTACTTTGCAGGGACATGGATAAAGCTGGAAACCATCATTCTCAGCAAACTATCACAAGGACAGACAACCAAACACCACATGTTCTCACTCATAGGCGGGAACTGAACAATGAGAACACTTGGACACAGGGCAGGGAACATCACACACTGGGGCCTGTTGGGGGGTCAGGGGCTGAGGGACGGATAGCATTAGGGGAAATACCTAATGTAAATGACAAGTTGATTAGTGCAGCAAACCAACATGACACATGTATACACATGTAACCAACCTGCGCATTGTGAACATATACCCTAGATCTTAAGGTATAATAATAAAAAAAGAACTGCCTGAGACTTTGTAATTTATGAAGAAAAATTATTTAATTGAGTGACAGTTCCATTTATCTGGAGGAATTTAGGAAACTTGCAATTATGGCAAAAGGTGAAGGAGAAGCAACGATCTTCTTAACATAGTGGCAGAAGATAGGGTAGGAAACTGCCAAGCACTTTAAAGGCATCAGATCTCATGAGAACTCACTCTCTATTATGAGAACAGCATGGGAGAAACTGCCATTATGATCCAATCCCCTCCCACCAGGTCCTTCTCTTAACATGTGAGGATGACAATTCAAGATGAGATTAACACAAAGAGAAACCACAAAAAGGATGTTGCCACTGATTCCACAGAAATAAAAATAACCATCTGCAAGTACCATGAACAATGCAATGCACACAAACTGGGAAACCTAGAAAAGATAAATAAATTCCTGGACACCTACATGCTTCCAAGATTGAAGCAGGAAGAAATTCATTTCCGGAACAGATCTATAATGAGCTCCAAAATTAAATCAGTAATAAATACTCTCCCAACCAAAAAAAAACAAAAAAATCCCAGGACCTGATGGATTCACAGCCAAATTCTACTAGATGTACAAAGAGCTGGTACCATTCCTACTGAAACTATCCCCCCAAAATTGAGGAGTCCTCCCCAACTCGTTATATGAGTCCAGAATCTTCCTGATACCAAAACCTGGCAGAGACACTCACACACAAAAGAAAGCCCATCAAATATGCTTGAGGAACAGCAATGTAAACATCCTCAACCAAATACTGGCAAACTGAATTCTTCAGCACATCAAAATCTAATCCACCATGATCAAGTAGGCTTCATCCCCAGGATGCAAGTTTGGTTCAACATATGCAAATCAATAAATGTGTTTCATTACATAAACAGAACTACCTGATTATCTCAATAGATGCAGAAAGGCTTTCTATAGAATTCAACATCCGTTAACATTAAAAACTCTCAATAAATTAGGTATTGAAGGAACATCCTCAAAATAATAAGAGCTATCTATGTCAAAGTCATTGCCAACATCATACTGAATGGGCAAAAGATGGCAGTGTTCCCCTTGAAAACTGGCACAATACAAAGATGCTCTCTCACCACTCCTATTCAAGATAATATTGGAAGTCCTAGCCAGAGCAGTAAGGCAAGAGAAAGAAATAAAGGATATCCAAATAGAAAAAGAGGAAATCAAAATATCCGTGTTTCTAGATGACATAATTCTATATCAAGAAAACCCCATAGTCTTGGCTCAAAAGCTACTTCAGCTGATAAACAACTTCAGCAAAATTTCAGGATACAAAGTCAATGTACAAAAATTACTAGGATTCCTATGCACCAATGACAGCCAAGATGAGAACCAAATCAGGAAGGCTATTCAATTCACAGCTGCCAAAAAAATAATAAA
The DNA here is from genome assembly GCF_000001405.40 of Homo sapiens. Classification (NCBI taxonomy): domain Eukaryota; kingdom Metazoa; phylum Chordata; class Mammalia; order Primates; family Hominidae; genus Homo; species Homo sapiens. The sequence goes on from NC_000023.11 coordinate 76,894,483, forward strand.
ATATATAGAAATACAGCTAACCAGGAGGTGAAAGACCTCTACAATGGGAATTTAAAACACAGCTAAAAAAACAAAACAAAACAAAAACAAAAACATAGAAAACATAGAAGGCACAAACAAATGGAAAAGCATCCCAGGCTCACAGATACGAAGAATCAATATTAAAATGGCCATACTGCCCAAAGCAGTTGACGTATTCAATGCTATTCCTATCAAACTACCACTGACATTCTTCACAGAACTAGAAAAAAATATTTTAAAATTTACATGCAACCCAAAAAGAGACTGAATTGCCAAGGCAATCCTAAGCAAAAAGCACAAAGCTGGAGGCATCACACTACTTGACTTCAAACTATACAACAAGGCTACAGTAACTTCAACAGCATTGTACTTGTACAAAAGCAGGCACACAGACCAATGGAACAGAATAGAGAGCCCAGAAATAAGGCCACACACCTATGACCATCTGATCTTCGACAAAGCTGACAAAAACAAGCAATGGAGGATAGACTCCGTATTCAATAAATCATGCTGGGATAACTGGCTAGCCATATGCAGAAAATTGAAGCTGGACCCCTTTCTTACGCCATATACAATAATCAACTGCAGATGTATTCAATACTTAAATGTAAAATCCAAAGCTATAAAAATCCTGGAAGATAACCTAGGCGATACCATCCTGGACATAAGAACAGGCAATGATTTCATGACAAAAACACCAAAAGCAATCTAAACAAAAGCAAAAATGGACAAATGGAATCTAATTAAACTTAAGAGATTCTGCACAGCAAAATAAACTCTCCACAGAGTAAACAGAAAACATACAGAATGGGAAAAATATCTGTAAACTATGCATCTGACAAAGGTCTAATATCCAGCATCTATAAGGAACTTAAACAAATTTACTGGAGAAAACTAAACAACCCCATTAAAAAGTAGGCAAACAACATGAACTGACACTTTTCAAAAGAAGTCATATATGTGGCCAATAACTATATTTTAAAAAGCTCAATATCACGGATCATTAGAGAAATGCAAATCAAAACCACAATAAGATAGCATCTCACACCTGTCACAATGGCTATTATTAAAAAGTTAAAAAAAAACAGCTGTTGGTGAGGTTGTGGAGAAAAGTAACACTTATATACAGGTAGTGGAGCATAAATTAGTTCAATCATCGTGGAAAGTAGTATAGTGATTCCTCAAAGAGCTAAATGCAGAACCACCATTCAATTCAGCAATTCCATTATTGGGTTTATATATTCAGAGGAATATAAATCATTCTACCATAAAGACACATGAACATGAATGTTTATTGCAGCACTATTCACAATAGTAAAGACATAAAATCAACCTAAGTGTCCATCAATGACAGACTGGATAAAGAAAATGTGGTACATATACACCACGGAATACTCTTCAGCCATTAAAAAAAATGAGATCATGTCTTTTAGGGGAACATGAATGGAGCTGGAGGCTGTTATTCTTAGCAAACTAAAACAGGAACAGAAAAATAAATACTGCATGTTCTTATAAGTGGGAGCTAAATGATGAAAACTCACTAATACAAAGAAAGAAACAATGGACACCTGGGTTTACTTGTGGGTGGAGGGTAGAAGGAGGGAGAGGACAAGAAAAAATAACCATTGGGTACTAGGCTTAATACCTGGGTGATGAAATTATACTTATAACAAACGTCCATGACACGATTTTACCAGTATAACAAACATTCGGGGGGTGGAGCCAAGATGGCTGAATAGGAACAGCTCCAGTCTACAGCTCCCAGCATGAGCGACACAGAAGACAAATGATTTTTGCATTTCCAACTGAGGTACTGGGCTCATCTCACTGGGAATTGTTGGACAGTGGGCGCAGGACAGTGAGTGCAGTGTACCAAGCCTGAGCCAAAGCAGGACAAGGCATCACCTCACCTGGGAAGCACAAGGGGTCAGGGAATTCCCTTTCCTAGCCAAGGACAGATGGCACCTGGAAAATCAGGTCACTCCCACCCTAATACTGCGCTTTTCTGATGGTCTTAGAAAACGGCACACTAGATTATATCCTGGGCCTGGCTAAGAGGGTCCTACGCCCACGGAGCCTCACTCATTGCTAGAAAGCAGTCCAAGATCAAACTGCAAGGCAGCAGTGAGGTTGGGGGAGGAGCGCAGGCAATTGCTGAGGCTTGAGGAGGTAAACAAAGTGGCTGGGAAGCTTGAACTGGGTGTAGCCCACTGCAGCTCAAGGAGGCCTGCCTGCCTCCATAGACTCCAACTCTGCAGGCAGGGCATAGCCAAACAAAAGGCAGTAGAAACCTCTGCAGACGTAAATGTCCCTGTCTGACAGCTTTGAAGATAGTAGCGGTTCCCCCAGCACACAGCCGGAAATCTGAGAATGGACAGACTGCCTCCTCAAGTGGGTCCCTGACCCCCAAGTAGCCTAAAAGGGAGGCACCCCCCAATAGGGGCAGACAGACACCTCACATGGCAGGGTACTCCTCTGAGATCAAACTTCCAGAGGACCGATCAGGAAGCAACATTTGCTGTTCACCAACATCTGCTGTTCTGCAGGCTCCGCTGCTGATACCCAGGCAAACAGGCTCTGGAATGGACCTCCAGCGAACTCCAACAGGCCTGCAGCTGAGGGTCCTGACTGTTAGAAAGAAAACTAACAAGCAGAAAGGAGATCCACACCAAAACCCCATCTGTATGTCACCATGATCAAAGACCAAAGGTAGATAAAACCATAAAGATGGGGAAAAAACAGAGCAGAAAAACTGAAAAGTCTAAAAATCAGAGTGTGTCTCCTCCTCCAAAGGAACACAGCTCCTCACCAGCAATGGAACACAGCTGGATGGAGAATGACTTTGACGAGTTGAGAGAAGAAGGCTTCAGACAATCAAACTACTCCATGCTAAAGGTGGAAGCTCCAACCTATGGCAAAGAAGTTAAAAACCTTGAAAAAAGATTAGATGAACGGCTAACTAGAATAACCAATGCAGAGAAGTCCTTAAAGGACCTGATGGAGATGAAAACCAAGGCACGAGAACTACGTGACGAATGCACAAGCCTCAGTAGCTGATTCGATCAACTGGAAGAAAGGGTATCAGTGATGGAAGATCAAACGAAAGAAATGAAGTGAGAAGAGAAATTTAGAGAAAAAAGAATAGAAAGAAATGAACAAAGCCTTCAAGAAATATGGGACTATGTGAAAAGACCAAATCTACGTCTGATTGGTGTACCTGAAAGTGACGGGGAGAATGGAACGAAGTTGGAAAACACTATGCCACAGATTATTCAGGAGAATTTCCCCAATCTAGCAAGGCAGGCCAACATTCAGATTCAGGAAATACAGAGAATACCACAAAGATACTCTTCGAGAAGAGCAACTCCAAGACACATAATTTTCAGATTCACCAAAGTTGAAATGAAGGAAAAAATGTTAAGGGCAGCCAGAGAGAAAGGTCGGGTTACCCACAAAGGGAAGCCCATAAGACTAACAGCGGGCCGGGCGTGATGGCTCACACCTGTAATCCCAGCACTTTGGGAGGCCGAGGCGGGTGGATCATGAGGTCAGGAGATCGAGACAATCCTGGCTAACATGGTGAAACCCCGTCTCTACTAAAAATACAAAAAATTAGCCGGGCGTGGTGGCGGGCGCCTGTAGTCCCAGCTACTTGGGAGGCTGAGGCAGGTGAGTGGCGTGAACCCGGGAGGCGGAGCTTGCAGTGAGCCGAGATCGCGCCACTGCACTCCAGCCTGGGCGACAGAGAGAGACTCCGTCTCAAAAAAAAAAAAAAAAAAAAAAAAAGACTAACAGCGGATCTCTCGGCAGAAATTCTACAAGCCAGAAGAGAGTGGGGCAAATATTCAACATTCTTAAAGAAAAGAATTTTCAACCCAGAATTTCATATCCAGCCAAACTAAGCTTCATAAGTGAAGGAGAAATAAAATACTTTACAGACAAGCAAATGCTAACAGATTTTGTCACCACCAGGCCTGCCCTAAAAGAGCTCCTGAATGAAGCACTAAACATGGAAAGGAATGACTGGTACCGGCTTCTGCAAAAACATGCCAAATTGCAAAGATCATCGAGGCTAGGAAGAAACTGCATCAACTAACAAGCAAAATAACCAGCTAACATCATAATGACAGGATCAAATTCACACATAACAATACTAACCTTAAATGTAAATGGGCTAAATGCTCCAATTAAAAGACACACAATGGTAAATTGGATAAAGAGTCAAGACCCATCAGTGTGCTGTATTCAGGAAACCCATCTCACGTGCAGAGACACACATAGGCTCAAAATAAAGGGACAGAGGAAGATCTACCAAGCAAATGGAAAACAGAAAAAGGCAGAGGTTGCAATCCTAGTCTCTGATAAAACAGGTTTTTTTTTAAATTCCTAATTGTTTTATTAAGAGTTTTATTTCTTGTCCTCACACTAAAATCTACATGGAATGATCAAGTTTTTTCCAAAGTCATAGTTCACATAAAGCAACCCTACTTGATGAAGTCCAGAAATGCAGGCAGTTGGCTCAAGGAGGTAACTTGTCTTCTACCTTTAGGCCCTAAATGCAGAACAGGTTTTAAACCAAAAAAGATCAAAAGAGACAAAGAAGGACATTACATAATGGTAAAGGGATCAATTCAACAGGAAGAGCTAACTATCCTAAATATATATGCACCCAATACAGGAGCACCCAGATTCATAAAGCAAGTCCCTAGAGACGTAGAAAGAGACTTAGACTCCCAAACAATAATAATGGGAGACTTTAACACCCCACTGTCAATATTAGACAGATCAATGAGACAGAATAATAAGAGCTATTTGTGACAAACCCACAGCCAATATCATACTGAATGGGCAAAAACTGGAAGCATCCCCTTTGAAAACTGGCACAAGAAAGGGATGCCCTTTCTCACCACTCCTATTCAACATAGTTTTGGAAGTTCTGGCCAGGACAATCAGGCAGGAGAAAGAAACAAAGGGTATTCAGTTAAGAAAAGAGGAAGTCAAACTGTCCCTGTTTGCAGATGACATGATTGTATATCTAGAAAACCCCATCGTCTCAGCCCAAAATCTTCTTAAGCTGATAAGCAACTTCAGCAAAGTCTCAGGATACAAAATCAATGTACAAAAATCACAAGCATTCTTATACACCAATAACAGACAAACAGAGAGCCAAATCACGAGTGAACTCCCATTCACAATTGCTTCAAAGAGAGTAAAATACCTAGGAATCCAACATACAAGGGACGTGAGGGACCTCTTCAAGGAGAACTACAAACCACTGCTCAATGAAATCAAAGAGGACACAAAGAAATGGAAGAACATTCCATGCTCATGGGTAGGAAGAATCAATATCGTGAAAATGACCATACTGCTTAAGGTAATTTATAGATTAAATGCCATCCCCATCAAGCTACCAATGACTTTCTTCACAGAATTGGAAAAAACTACTTTAAAGTTCATATGGAACCAAAAAAGAGCCCGCATCGTCAAGTCAATCCTAAGCCAAAGAACAAAGCTGGAGGCATCACAGTACCTGACTTCAAACTGTACTACAAGGCTACAGTAACCAAAACAGCATGGTACTGGTACCAAAACAGAGATATAGACCAATGGAACAGAACAGAATCCTCAGAAATAATGCCACACATCTACAACTATCTGATCTTTGACAAACCTGAGAAAAACAAGCAATGGGGAAAGGATTCCCTATTTAATAAATGGTGCTGGGAAAACTGGCTAGCCATATGTAGAAAGCTGAAACTGGATCCCTTCTTTACACCTTATACAAAAGTTAATTCAAGATGGATTAAAGACTTAAATGTTAGACCTAAAACCATAAAAACCCTAGAAGAAAACATAGGCAATACCATTCAGGACATAGGCATGGGCAGGGACTTCATGTCTAAAACACGAAAAACAATGACAACAAAAGCCAAAATTGACAAATGGGATCTAATTAAACTAAAGAGCTTCTGCACAGCAAAAGAAACTACCATCAGAGTGAACAGGCAACCTACAGAATGGGAGAACATTTTTGCAATCTACTCATCTGACTAAGGGCTAACATCCAGAATCTACAATGAACTCAAACAAATTTACAAGAAAAAAACAACACCATCAACAAGTGGGCAAAGGACATGAACAGACACTTCTCAAAAGAAGACATTTATGCAGCCAAAAGACACATGAAAAAATGCTCATCATCACTGGCCATCAGAGAAATGCAAATCAAAACCACAATGAGATACCATCTCACACCAGTTAGAATGGCGATCATTAAAAACTCAGGAAACAACAGGTGCTGGAGAGGATGTGGAGAAATAGGAACACTTTTACACTGTTGGTGAGACTGTAAACTAGTTCGCCCTTTGTGGAAGACAGTGTGGCGATTCTTCAGGGATGTAGAACTAGAAATTCCATTTGACCCAGCCATCCCATTACTGGGTATATACGCAAAGGATTATAAATCATGCTGCTATAAAGACACATGCACATGTATGTTTATTGTGGCGCTATTCACAATAGCAAAGACTTGGAATCAAGCCAAATGTCCAACACTGATAGACTGGATTAAGAAAATGTGGCACATATACACCATGGAATACTATGCAGCCATAAAAAAGGATGAGTTCATTTCCTTTGGAGGGACATGGATGAAGCTGGAAACCATCATTCTCAGCAAACTATCTCAAGGACAAAAAACCAAACACCGCATGTTCTCACTCATAGGTGGGAATTGAACAATGAGAACACATGGACACAGGAAGGGGAACTTCACACACTGGGGCCTGTTGTGGGGTGGGAGGAGGGGGAGGGATAGCATTAGGAGATATACCTAATGCTAAATGACGAGTTAATGGGTGCAGCACACCAACATGGCACATGTATACATATGTAAGAAATATGCACATTTTGCACATGTACCCTAAAACTTAAAGTATAATAAATAAAAAATGTGGCACTTATACACCATGGAATACTATGCAGCCATAAAAAATGATGAGTTCATGCCCTTTGTATAGAGTTGGATGAAGGTGGAAACCATCATTCTCAGCAAACCATCGTAAGGACAAAAAACCAAACACCACATGTTCTCACTCATAGGTGGGAATGGAACAATGAGAACACATGGACACAGGAAGGGGAACATCACACACTGGGGCCTGTTGTGGGGAGGGGTGGAGGGGAGGGCTAGCATTTAGCATTAGGAGATACACCTAATGTTAAATGATGAGTTAAGGGGTGCAGCACACCAACATGGCACATGTAACTAACCTGCACGTTGTGCACATGTACCCTAAAACTTAAAGAATAATAAAAAAATTCATCTGTACCCCAAAAACTGAAACAAAAGTTTAAAAAAAGAAGTAAAAGAAAAAATTTGAATTACTTCTGTTTGCAGATAATATGATATTTTATTTGGAAAACCTAAAGACTCCACTAAAAAAGTATTAGAACTGATAAACAAATTCAGTAAAATGGCAGGTTACAATATAAACATACAACAATCAGTACCATTTCTATATTCCAACAGTGAACAAACTGAGAAAATGTTAAAAAGTATTTCTATTTACAATAGTCACCAATAAGATTAAATACATAGAAATTAACTTAACCAAAGATGTGAATGATCTCTATAATAAAAACTATAAACATTGTTCAAAAGGATTGAAGACTACACAAAAAACTAAAAGATATTCCATGTTTATGAATTGGAAGAATTAATATTTTTAAATGTCCATACTACACAAAGCAATCTATTGATTCAATGCAATTCCTATCAAAATACCAATGACATTCTTCACAGAAATGGAGAAAAATATCCTCAAATTTATATGGAACCACAATAGACTCAGAATAGCTAAAGCTATTCTAAGCAAAAAGAACAAAACTGGAGGAATCACATTACCTGATTTCAAATTTTACTAGAGCTATAGCAAGCAAAACAGCATAGTACTAGCATAAAAACAGACACATAGTCGAATGGAGCAGAATAGAGAACCCAGAAATAAATCCATACATATACAGTGAACTCATTTTCAACAAATATTCTAAGAACATATATTGTGGAAAGAACAGTCTCTTCAATAAATGGTGCTGGGAAAACTGGATATCTATGTGTGGAAGAATGAAACTACACCTTTATATCTTACCATATGCAAAAGTCAAATAAAAAAAGATTAAAGACTTAAATCTGAGACCTCAAACTATGAAACTACCACAAGAAAACACTGGGAAAACTCTCTGAGACATTGCAGTGAGCAATGATTTTCTGAGTAATACTCCACAGACACGGGTAACCAAAGTAAAAATGGACAAATGGGATCACATCAAGTCAAAAACTTCTGCACATTAAAGGAAACAATCAGCAGTGTGAAGAGACAACACACAGAATGAGAGAAAGTATTTGGAAACTACTCATCTGACCAGGGATTTATAATCAGAATATATAAGGAGCTCAAACAACTCTATAGGAAAACATCTAATAATTCCATCAAAAATTTGGCAAAAGATCTGAATATACATTTCTCAATAGATAACATACAACTTGCCAACAGGTATATGAAAAGGTGTTCAGCATCATTGATCAACAGATAAATGCAAATCAGAACTACAATAAGATATCACCTCATCCCAGTTAAAATGGCCTTTATCCAAAAAACAGGCAATACCAAATTCTGGTGAGGACGTGGAGGAAAGGAAACCCTTCTACACTGTTGGTGGAAAGGTAAATCACTACAACCACTATGGGGAACAGTTTGGAGATTCCTCAAAAAACTAAAAGTAGAGCTACCATACCATCTAGCAATCCCACTTCCAAGTATCAACCTAAAAGAAAGAAAATCAGTATATCAAAGAGATATCTACACTCACTTGTTTATTGCAGCACTATTCACAATAGCCAAGATTTGGAGGCAACCTAAGTGTCCATCAACACACATATGGATAAAGAAAATGTGGTACTTATATACCATGGAGTAGTATTCAGCCATAAAAAAGAATGAGATCCTGTCATTTGCAACAACATGGATAAAGCTGGAGATCATTATGTTAAGTGAAATAAACCATGTACAGAAAGACAGACATAGCATGTTCTTATTTATCTGTGAGAGCCAAAAATTAAAACAGTTGAACTCTTGGGGGTAGAGAGTAGATGGACTGTTACCAGCAGCTGGGAAGGGTAGTTGGGTAGCAAAGTATTGGGGATGGGCAGATGGTTAATGGGTACAGAAAATAGAAAAAATAAATAAGAAGTAGTACTTGCCAGCACAGCAGGGTGACTATAATAAAAATAACTTAATTTTGGGAGGCTGAGGCTGGTGGATTGCTTGAGTCCAGGAGTTCAAGACCAGCCTGGCCAACAGGGCAAAACCCCATCTCTACTAAAAATACCAAAATTAGACAGGCATGGTGGCTCACACCTATAATCCCTGCTACTTGGGTGGCTGAGGCATGAGAATTGCTTGAACTTGGTAGGCAGAGGGTGTAGTGAGCTGAGTTTATGCCACTGCACTCTAGCCTGGGTGAAAGAGCAAGACTCTGTCCCAAAAAAAAAAAAAAAAACTTAATTGTACATTTTTAAGTAACTAAAAAAGTATAATTGGAATTTTTGAGACACAAAAGATAAATACTTGAGGTGATGGATACTCTATTTACCCTGATGTTATTGTCATGCATTGCATGCTTGTATCAATTTATCTCAGTAATGCATAAATATATACACTTAATATTTACCCAAAAATTAAAAAAATAAAAATTTAAATAAAATAAAATAAAAAATGAAGGCCTTCCCTGAATACTTCTAGTACCGGCACAGTACTAGAATCTATAGAGTATTTTTGTGACAACAGAATTCAGAAACTGATGAAAATGCCACATTTCACCTCTTAAATTCTAATCTTCCTGTGCCTATTCATTCCTTGGTTTCTCAGTGGGATATTATTCAGGATCAAAATCATGATGTTGGTCCAAGTTGTCTTTCATTCCCATTTTATCCTATATACTCACATGCTGCTGCTAATGCCTCCTGTTGCAGAAGAAATTGATCTGATAAATATATCATACATATATATAAAATATATGTATATATATAAAATATATGTATATATATAAAATATAACTATATTTAGATTGAAGCACAAAAGACTTAGGATGATATTCCTTCATGGATTATTGCATTTTAAAAGATGCTGGAAGAAGGCAATGACAAACACAAAACTAGAGAATGTAACTACATTGACAATTCTGGAAAGCAACTTTGGTCCATCACAAAAGACAATGTGATCAAAGTGGAAAACAGAATGAAAGTCTGTCACTGATTTACCCAGAAGGACTTAACACAAACAGTGCAAATGTGAAGAAGTTATTTTCCTTTCTATTTTGGAGACCATTCATTGCTATGAAAGGGTTTCAATCAGCTTACTTTAAGGTTTCTTTCAGACTTAAATTTTATGAATTGCCAATGATGGAGACCTTCCAAACAGGCTTCAGGTTACACCACAAAGGCTATTTTGGCTGTTTATGAACAAAGCTGACTATGAATATAAGCTCTTCACTTCACCTAGGAACATTGAAAAAAACTTCAGAAAGGACAAGTAGGATTTTTCCAGGTAGCAAATGATAGAGAAGGACATTCCAGGTAAAGAGTAAAATATATAAAGTAATATACCAGTATGTAAGAATGTGCTGTATTGAAAAAATAAGGAGTAGTTGGATGAGGCTAGAGGATCATTTATATGGTGGGAGTTCAACCTAAAGTAGTTTAGGTTCACACTGTGAAAGGCACTGAATGCTATTCCCAGTGTTAGAAATTAATCCATAAGCAATGGATAACCACTGAGGATTTGTAAACTAGGGTGTGAAATGATCACATCTGTGCTTTAGGACAAAACCTCTGGCTACAATGTAAAGCATAGATTTTAGGAGAGCAGCCTAGAAGCAGAGAAGCTTTTTGGGAAGTTATTGCAGAAATCTAAACAGAAGGTGATGAGAGCCTGAATTTCTCCTCCAAGAAGAAAATGAGAATGGAATGAGAAAATAAGGAATGGGGCAGAGAAAGATGAGTGGTACTTTGCAGGAAAGCAATATCGAGATAACCACGTGGCTCTTCCTTAAGCCTTCCCAGGGCAAATACAAAGCCTTACACCTTTTTCTGTCTCCTATAATTTCCAGTTCTTTGCTGGGCTCAAAAGAGGCATAGGACCCACTAAGCAATAATAGTTGAAGATTCAGGAAGTTCTTGGTTCTACTAAGGTTTCTAAGCTAGCTTTCACTTGAAGTAACACAAAATTGAGCATAAAGAAGTCCCCCAGAAATATTTCAAGTGAGTCAAAAAGTCTGATTTAAATAACATTAAGCTCTTGGTTTTTTGATAAAGGATTAATTTGTCATTCCCTACTAACAAGGCAGGACTAGGCTTTAGCAAAAGACTTGCAGGACTTCCAGAGAGATTTTCATGAATCTTTCGATTAGAACTCTCATTTCATGGACCATATTTTCTGTTCTTGCTTCTATCATAAAGTACATCCTGTTTTTTTCCAAGAATGGCATATTAGAGTCTTTTAGAATGGCTCAGCCACTTGGAAATAGAAAAATAGTGCATAATGATCAATTCTGTGAGCTTTAATTCAAGAAGGAAAATGGGAATCTACCAAAATCATGAAGAACACACCACATGCCAGGAGGAGAATGTAGAGGAAAGCCCCTATGATGGTGTCCAGTTGATAAAAGTGAGTGAAACCCCAGTATGTGAGAGGGACAGAGAGGTTCCCTTCTGTGACTCACTTTTCCACTGCAGATATGAGAAACCAAGGCCAAGGGAGAACACTTTGTTTCTCCCAAGCCCTGGAGCTAATTTGGGGAGAGGCTTGGAGATGCTGACAGGGAAAGACACCAGGAAAAATGTCAGGCATTTTCCCAGACCTGGGATCAAGAGCAGGATGCCATTTTTAATCTGGGTACATAGTAAGTCAATCGATCATTGTTGACTCAGCAGCATGGCCATGCAGGCCGTTTAATTTTAGGCCAGAAATTGGAGCACTTTCTCTGGAGCAGGGTAGGGGTCTCCACAGACAAAGCTGTAGAAAGTGCTTCAGCAGTCGGCACTGGAGTTATGCTATCCCCTACTACAGGCCTGGGGAGAGAGGAGAGCTGCTACAGCCATGTTTTCTCCTGGGTAATGAGTCTTTCAGCCAGAGCCAGCCTGGCAACCCAGAAATGGTCTGTTTGTGTCATCTCTGGGTACCCCGGGCTGCTCTCCTGTGATTATTGTGCAATGGGGCACTCTCAACTCCATAACCAGGCAGAAATCCAGGACTTCAGAACAACTGCTTACATAGACTAGCAGCCTGAGTCACCCCATCTTTCCTGTGCAAATATTTGAGTGCAAGAGGTTCATTTCTACTTCATGCCCTGAAAGATCTTCAGGCTCTCACAGTACCTGTTCTCTTGGACTAGCAGCCTGAGCCAGCCCACCCTTCCTGTGCATAGATCATGGTACAGTGGAGACCTCTCTGCTCCATGCCCAGGCAGATCTCCAGGAATTCAGAGCACCCACTCACATAGAATAGCAGCCAGACCTGCCCCACCCTCTCAGTGCAGAAATCCTGGTACAATAGGACCCTCTCTGCTCCATGCCCAGGCAGATATACAGGCATGCAAAGCATCTGCTCACTTGAATTGGCAGCCTGAGCTGCCCAAAATTTCATGTGCAGAGGTCCAGGTGCAGGGAGGCCCTCTCTGCTTTATGTCCACCATATCTCCAGACATTTGGAGTACTCATTCACCAAAATCATGATCTTGAGCTGTCTCACCCTTCATATGCAGAGTCTGTGTTGAAGTGGGGCCCTTCTGTTCCATGCCCAGGCAGGTCTCCAGGCATTCAGAGCACCCACTCACCTGGATCAGCAGCCTGAACCACCCAACCATTCCTGTGAAGAGTGTGATGTAGCAGAGCACTCTATGCTCCATGCCCAGTCATATCTCCAGACATCTGGAACACCCATTCTCCTGGATTAGGAGTTTAGGCCACCCTCCCCTTGCCAGAAAGAGAAATTGGGACTAAGGAGATTTCCCAGATCCACACCTTGGCATACATTTGGGTGCATGGTGGCTACCCACTGGACCCTCCCTTGGTGCTGGTAGTTGTGCCTGCCACTGGGACACCTATAGGAGGGCCTTCCCAGTCCAGCCCTGCCCATCTTTGTCTACCCCTGTGGGGCTGAGCATGGATCCAAAACATTCCTGAAAAGAGAGATGTAAAAATCCTCAACAAAATATGAGCAAACTGAATCCAGCAGCACATCAATATGCTAATTCATCCCAATCAAGTAGGCTTTATTCCTTGAATGCAAGGTTGGTTTAACATATCAATAAATATGATTCACTACATAAACAGAATTAAAAACAAAAACTATATAATCATCTCAATAGATGCAGAAAAGCTTTCGATAAAATCTAATATCCATTCATCATAAAAAGCCTCAACACACCAGCATTAATGTGCATATGCAGAGACATCTACCTCAAGCCCACAGACACCACTTCCCTGCTGATGCACATGTCCCCTGCTACACTACTACAGCCATGGCTGGCATGGCCAAGTGCACAGATACCACTGCACTGCAACCTCCAGCATGCATGTACACTCTGCATCACCACTGCTCCTGCTGGCACACATATGTGCACATAAGTGTGACTGCCTCACCTCCCCAGGCGGCCCACTGCCACCAACATACATGCGCCATGCCATACCACCACTGCTTTTGGCACGTACATGTGAATGTGAACTCTGCGGCCAATGCCCTGATTAAGTTCACTAACTGGAACTCCCCCATCAAAGTGTTGTTACCACTGGACCAGAAACACCTCAGGCCCTCCTGTGCAGCAGTTTCTTAACCTCAAGGAGCCAGGGAACAAAGCTGTGGGCTTGGAACCAGCACCCCAGTGTTAGCGCATTCAGCCAAGGAGTGCTGAGATGAGCCTTGGCCCCCTGAAATCTTCCAGAAATTAAGCAAGTCTATTTAACTCACCTAATACAACAATCAAACCCTCAAGGGCATCAAAGAATATAAAAGCAAAAAAACCATCCAAAGGACATTAATTTCAGATTAAAGGACTATCAGCCAACACAGATGAGAAAGAACCAGCACAAGAACTCTGGCATGCAAAAAGCCAGAGTGTCTCTTTACTTCCAAATGACCACACTAGTTCCAAAGCAATGATGGTTAACCAGGCTGAAATGGCTAAAATAATATACATAGAATTCAGAATCTGGATAAGAATGAAGACTTTCAAGATTCAAGGGAAAGTCAAAACCAAATCCAAGGAATCTAAGGAGCCCCATAAAATGATTCACAAGCTTAAAGATAAAATAGTCATTTTAAGAAAGAACAAGACTGAACTGATAGAGCTAATAAAAACCTACTATAAGAATTTTATAATATGATCAGAAGTATTAATAGAGGAATGGACCTAGCTGAGGAAATAATCTCAAGCTCAAAGACTGGTTCCTTCAATCAACTCAGTTATACAAAAAATAAAGAAAAAATATTTTTTTGTAAAGAAAAGAATGAACAGAACTTCCGAGAAATACAGGATTATATGAAAAAAAATAAATCTGTGACTCATTGGCATCCATGAACAAGAAGGAGAAAGAACAAGTAACTTAGAAAATATATTTGAGGATATAGTCCCCAAAAATTTCCCCAACTTCACTACAGAGGTCAACATTCAAATTCAGGAAATACAAAGATCCCCTGTGAGATACCCTACAAGATGACTATCCCCAAGACACATAGTCATCAGACTCTCGAAGGTCAACATGAAATAAAGAATATTAAGGGCAGCTAGAGAGAAGGGGCAGGTCACTTACAATGAGAATCACATCAGGCTAACAGCAGAGCTTTCAGCAGAAACCCTACAAGCCAGAAGACATTGGGAGCCTACATTTACCATTCTTAAAGAAAAGAAATTCCAACCAAAAATTTCATATCCAGCTGAACTAAGCCTTATAAGTGAAGGAGAAATAAGATCCTTTTCTGACAAGCAAATGCTAAGGAAGCTCTTTACCATGAGATCTGCCTTACAAGAGGTCCTTAAGGAGTGCTAAACCTGAAAATGAAAGACGATTGCCAGCCAACAAAGAAGCACACTTAGTGTACACAGACCATTGACAATAGAAAGCAACTACACAATCAAGTTTACATAACAACCAGCTGAAAACATGATGACTGGATGAAAGCTGCACATACCAATATTCACCTTGAATGTAAATGGACTAAATGCCCACACTTAAAAGCAGATGACAAGCTGGATAAAGAAGCAAGACTTAACTGTATGTTGTCTTCAAGAGACCTATCTCTCATACAATGATACCCATAGGCTCAAAGTAAAGAGATGGAAAAAAAGTCTACCAAGGCCAGCTGCAGTGGCTAACACCTGTATAATTCCAGCACTTTGGGAGGCTGAGGTGGGTGGATCACCTGAGGTCAAGAGTTCAAGACCAGCCTGGCCAAAATGGTGAAACCTCATCTCTACTAAAAATACAAAAATTAGCCAGGCATGGTGGCATGTGCCTGTAATCCCAGCTACTCAGGAGGCTGAGCAGAATCTCTTGAACTCAGGAGGTGGAGGTTGCAGTGAGCCGAGTTCATACCAGTGCACTCCAGCCTGGGGGATAGAGTGAGACTTTGTGTCAAAAAAAAAAAATAGTCTACCAAGCAAATAGAAAACAAAAAGAGTGGGGATTGCTATTCTAATTTCAGACAAAACAGACTTCAAACTAACAATAATCAAAAAAAGACAAGTAAGGGCATTAGATAATTATAAAGTGTTCATTTCAACAAGAAGACTTAACTAACCTAAATATATATACCTCACTGACATTACTAGATGGATCATCAAGGCAGAAAATTAACAAAGATATTTAAAACCTAAACTTGACACTTGACCAAATGAGCCTAACAGACACCTACCAAACACTCTGCCCAACAACAGAATATATATATTTTCTCATATGCACATGGCACATACTCTAAAATTGACCACATTTTTAGCCATAAAACAATTCTCAAAAAATTCAAAAAAACTAAAATCATACCAGCCATACTCTTAGACCACACCACAATAAAAACAAATCAATACTAAGAAGGTGTCTCAAAACTATACAATGACATTGAAATTAAACAATCTGCTCCTGAATGACTTCTGGATAAACAATAAAATTAAAGCAGAAATCAAGAAATTCATTAAAACTAATGACAATGAAGATACAACATAACAAAATCTCTGGGACACAGAAAAAGCAATATTAAGAGGAAACTTTGTACTGTTAAATGCCCACATGAAAAAGTTAGAAAGATCTCTAATTAACAGCCTAAACTCATAAATAGAGGAACTAGAATAACAAGGGAAAAGTAATTCAAACCTAACAGAAAAAAACTGACCAAAATCAGAGCTAAACTCAATGAAATTGAGACAAGAAAAACCACACAAAACATAAATGAAATCAAAAGTTGCTTCTGTGAAAGAACAAATAAGATTAATAGAGCAACTGCTAAACAAATCAAGAAAAGAGAGAGAGAGAATCCAAATAAACACAATCAGAAATGACAAATGGACATTACCACCAACCCCATAGAAGTATAAAAACGCTTAGAGATTTTTTTGTCTTTTTAAAATTTAATTTAATTTTAAGTTCCAGGATACATGTGCAGGATGTGCAGGTTTATTACATAGGTAAACATGTGCCATGGTGATTTGCTACACCAATCAATTGCAGCAAACCCAGGTATTAAGCCATGCATGCATTAGCTATTTATCCTGATACTCTCTAACCCCCAACCTCACCCCCAGAGACCCCAATGTGTGTTGTTCCCCTCCCTGTGTCCATATGTACTCATTGTTCAGCTTCAACGTAGAAGTGAAAATATGTGGTGTTTGGTTTTCTGTCCCTGTGTTAGTTTGCTGAGGATAATGGCTTCAGGATCCATCCATGTCCCTGCAAAGAACATGATCTCATTCTTTTTTATGGCTGCATAGTATTCCATGGTATATGTGTACCACATTTTCTTTATCTTGTCTATCATTGGTGGGCATTTGGGTTGATTCCATGTCTTTGCTATTGTGAATAGTGCTGCAGTGAACATAAGCATGCATGTCTCTTTATAATACAATGATTTTTATTCCTTTGGGTATATATGCAGTAATGGGATTGCTGGGTCAAATGGTATTTCTGCCTCTAGGTATTTGAAGAATTGCCACACTGTCTCCCACAATGGTTAAACTAATTAACATTCCCACCAACACTGTAAAAGCGTTCCTATTTCTTCACAGCTGTGCCAGCATCTGTTATTTCTTGACTTTTTAATAATTGCCATTCTGACTGGCATGAAATGGTATCTCATTGTGGCTCTGATTTCCATTTAATGATCAGTGATGTTGAGCTTTTTTTCATATGTTTGTTGGCAGCATAAATGTCTTGTTTTAAGAAGTGTGTGTTCCATGCACACATATGTTTATTGTGGCACTATTCACAATAGCAAAGACTTGGAACCAACCCAAATGTCCATCAATGATAGACTGGATTGAGAAAATGTGGCACATATACACCATGGAATACTATGCAGCCATAAAAAAGGATGAGTTCATGTATTTTGCAGGGTCATGGATGAATCTGGAAATCATCATTCTCAGCAAACTATCACAAGAACAGAAAATCAAACACCACATGTTTTCACTTATAGGTGGGAATTGAACAATGAGAACACATGGACACAGGAAGGGGAACATCACACACTGGGGCCTTCAGGGGGTAGAGGACTCGGAGAGGGACAGCATTAGGAGAAATACCTGATGTAAATGACGAGTTGATGGGTGCAGCAAACCAAAATGGCACATGTATATCTATTCAACAAATCTACATGTTGTATACATGTACCCTAGAACTTAAAGTACAATAAAAAAAGAAGTGTCTGTTCATGTCCTTTGCCCCACTTTATAATGGGGTTGTAAAACCCTTAGACATTATTACAAACACCTCTATGCACACAAACTAGAAAATATGGAAAAAATAGATAAATTCTTGAAACTTACAACCTTCCAAGATTGAACCAGGAAGAAACTGAAACCCTGAACTGACCAATAATGAGTTCTGAAACTGAATCAGTAATAAAAAGCCTATCAACAAGAAAAAAACCCTGGACCAGATGGATTCACAGACAAATTCTAAGAAACATATAAAGAAGAGCTGGTACCAATCCTACTGAAATTATTCCAAAAAACATTGAGGAGAAAAGACTTCTCCCTAACTCATTCTATGAGGCCATCATCATTCTGAAACTAAAATCTGGCAGACATAAAACAAAAAAAAGAAAACTTCAGGGCAATATCTCTAATGAATATAGGTGCAAAACTCCTCAACAATATATTATCAAACTGAATCCAGCAGCACATCAAGAACCTAATCCACCAAGATCAAGTAGGCCTTATTCTTGCAATACAAGGTTAGTTCAACATACACAGACCAATGAATATGATTCACCAAATAAAGAGAACTAAAAACATTGGCCAGGAGTGGTGGCTCATGCCTGTAATCCCAGCACTTTGGGAGGCCAAGGCGGGTGGATCATGAGGTCAAGAGACCGAGACCATCCTGGCCAATGTGGTGAAACCCTGTCTCTACTAAAAATACGAAAAAAAAAGCCCTGGGCATTGTGGAGTGTGCCTGTAGTCCCAACTACTTGGAAGGCTGAGGAAGGAGAATCACTTGAACCCGGGAGGTGGAGATCACAGTGAGCCAAGATTGCACCACTGCACCCCAGCTTGGCAACAGAGCAACACTCTGTCTCAAAAAAAAAAAAAAAAAAAACAAAAACAAAAAAAAACAACAACAAAAAAAAACGTTTTTCAATAGATGCAGAAAAGGCTTTCAATAAAATTCAACATGTCATTATGTTAAAACCCCTCAAAAAACTAGGCATTGAAGGAACATACTTCAAAATAATAAGTGCCATCTATGACAAACCCACAGCCAATGTCATACTTAACAGGCAAAGCTAGAACTATTCCTTCTTGAGAAGTGGAACAAGACAAGGATGTCCCACTCTCACCAACCCTATTCAACATAGTACTGGAAGTTGTAGCCAGAGCAATCAGACAAGAAAAAGAAATCAAAGGCCTCCAGATAGGAAGAGAGGAAATCAAACTCTCTCTCTCTCTTTGCAGTTAATATGATTTTCTATCTAGAAAAACCCATAGTCTTTGTTCAAGAGCTCCTAGATCTGATAACCAACTTCAGCAATGTTTCAGAACACAAAATCAATGTATAAAACTCAGTACCATTCCCATACACCAATAATGTCAAAACTGAGAGCCAAATCAAGAATACAATACCATTCCTAATAGCCACGAAAAGATTAAAATATCTAGAAATACACCTAACCAGGAAGATGAAAGATCTCTACAATGAGAATTATGAAACATTGCTCAAAGTAATCATAGATGGTATGAAAAAATCAAAAATCATTTCATGCTCATGTATCGGAAGAATCAATATCACTAAATTGCCATACCGCCCAAAGCAATTTAAAGATTCAACGCTATTTCTATCAAACTACCAATGTCATTTTTCACAGAATTAGAAAACATTATTCTAAAATGTATATGGAATCAAAAAAAGAGCACAAATAGTCAAAGCCATCCTAAGCAAAAAGAACAAAGCCAGTCACATCACATTAGCTGACTTCAAACTATAAGTAGCCAAAACAGCATGGTACTGGTATGAAAATGGACACATAAGCCAATGGAACAGAATTGAGAACCCAGAAGTAAAGCTACACACCTGCAGCCATATGATCCTCGACAAAGTCAACAAAAACAAGCAATGAGGAAAGGATTCCTTATTCAATAAGTGGTTCTGGGATAGCTGGCTAGCCATATGCAGAAATTAAACGTGGTCCCCTACCTTTCACCATATACAAAAATTAACTCAAACTAGATTAGAGGTTTAAATGTAAAACCTCAAGTTATAAGAATCTAGAAGAAAACCTAGGAACTACCATTCTAGGCATTGGTCTTGAGAAAGTGTCTGTGACTAGGCCCTCAATAGCAATTGCAAAGAAAACATAAATTGACAAGTGAGACCTAATTAAACTAAAGAGCTTCTGCACAACAATAGGAATCATCAATCGAGTGAACAGAAAATTTACCCAATGAGATAAAATATTTGCGAATTATGCATCCTGACAAGGGTCTAATATCCAGAATCTATAAAGAACTTAAACATTTCAACAACAACAATAACAAAGAAAACCCTATTAAAAAGTAGGCAAAAGACATGAACAGACACTTCTTAAAAGAAGACACACAAGCCACCAACAAACACACAAAAAAATGTTTTATATCACTAACCATCAGAGAAGTGCAAGTCAAAACCTCAATGAGATAGCATCTCACACCAATCAGAATGGCTATTACTGAAAAGTCAAAAAATAACAGATGCCAGTGAGGCTGCAGAGAAAAGGAAACACTTATACACTATTGGTGGGAATTTAAATTAGTTCAGTCACTGTGGGAAGCAGTTTGGATATTTGCCAAATAACTTAAAACAGAACTATCATTTGACCCAGCAATCCGATTACTGGCTATATATCCAAAGAAAAATAGATCATTATACCAAAAAGACACATGCAGTCATATGTTTATTGCCACACTATTCACAGTAGCAGAAAGATAGGACCAACGTAGGTGCCCATCAATGATGAACTGGTTAAAGAAAATATGGTACATATCTACCATGGAATACTATGAGGCTATTTTAAAAAGAAGGAAATAATGTCTTTTGCAGCAACATGAATGCACCTTTATCCTAAACAAATTAATGTAGGAACAGAGAACCTAACTCCCCATGGTCTCACTTATAAATGGGAGTGAAACATTGAGCACTCATGGACATAAAGATGGCAATAATAGACAAT
This sequence comes from Homo sapiens, assembly GCF_000001405.40. Taxonomy (NCBI): domain Eukaryota; kingdom Metazoa; phylum Chordata; class Mammalia; order Primates; family Hominidae; genus Homo; species Homo sapiens. Next base: position 76,915,476 of record NC_000023.11, read on the forward strand.
GAGAATTTCAAGAGGTGGGAGTGAGGGAGGTAGGGAAGAGCTGTAAAACTATCTACTGAATACTATGCTAAGTACCTGGGTGATGGGATCATTTGTGCCCCAACCCTTACAGTTTAATAACACTCTATTTATATGCTAATAGCAGTTAACAAACTGTTTAATAAATTTATTATTTTAGCAATAATTATGCAACTGTTAATATGTGCAGGGCACTATTGTGGCTGGGTAGGTGGAGGGGAAGGTGGATGAATGGGGAGAGAGGATAAAATCAGATATAAACATTACTTTCAATGAGCTTAACATCTAGTAGACCGGATTACTGGTGAAAAATACAGGACAAACCATTGATGCCAAAGATCATTTACCAAGCTAGGTATAATGAGAAGCATGGCTTACCCTCCTGAGAAAAAGGAATAAAACCAACTTTTCCAATAAATCTTAAATTTACCCAGTGGTTTGCTACATAACGAAAAGTGTTTCTCTCCTCCTTTCAGTTTTTGTTGGCATACCACCACCTACTCTGTGGCTGGCTTGCAGGCTGTCATAGTGAATGACGGCCTCCAAATGCCACCGTCCCTTGGGCCCATTAGTCATGAGCACTGTTCAGTAGAGAAAATAGATTTGAAAATGCTTTCCTAAGGACTCTGGTATTTGTTGATGATATCCAATCTAAAGAATATCTATAACGATTGCTCTCTCTCTGCTGGAACTTCAGAGCTCTCTAATTTCCCTGAATTGCCAAAAAAAATGCTATTAGCATTTGGCAGAAGGGTCAAAACAGTACTATGTAAATAAGTTTTTGTTTGTGACCTTTCAAAGTTCAATCGGCTTTACTAGCAGGAATATACTATCTTGCCTTCCATCAACTGGACTGTTAATCTTAAAAAAAATAACTCCTTCCTATGTTTGGAAATCATTTGTACCTTATAGTCCTCTTTCTCGATATGAAAACATCCAAGGTGTTGTGATGAGGTTTCCAATTTGATTAGAAACAATTTCTTGGAGTCCTATTTTTAAAAACCATGAAGTACACATGAACTGAGTACATGGAATGTAATCTAAATTTGCCTTAATGTTTCAAGGTTACTATTATAAAAATGAATCACTGTACTATGCTGTGCTACTCTTAAGGGTAATTAAGGTATGCAGGAAAGTTATCCCCTAAGCTGATTCCTGATTGCTGTTCTTTAATAATTTTCTCCACATTTATCTTACCCTCACTGCAAGACATGGGGGTGGGGGGAGGAGGGAGGTATAGCATTAGGAGATATACCTAATGCTAAATGACGAGTTAATGGGTGCAGCACACCAGCATGGCACATGTATACATATGTAACTAACCTGCACATTGTGCACATGTAGCCTAAAACTTAAAGTATAATAATAAAAAAAGACATTTCTTCTTGTTGCTATCATCAGAGCTGACTCCAAATAAAATGACTGCTTTCTTGTCTAAAATGGATTAACCAGTTACCTTCTTAACTAATTCAGCTAAAAGGTTAATGAATAAAAACAGTTTAATATCCTTGCCTTAAATAAAACTAAACTCTTCTCCTAAGCTATATTCTCAGCCTTTACCACTTCTCAAAATAACAAATTCCAAGTGCTCATCACCCCTTTCATTTTCCTAAATTTACTTGAAATTTTGGTATTCAGGAATATAGCTAGTCCAGTAAACAAATCCAAGTCCACCTGATCCACCCTTTTACAGACTTCAGTGATACCCCTTTTACTTTTGTCTTTCTGAATAACAAGCACCCATCTTTTTAGACTATCCTCATATGATGTTTTATATGACATGTTTCTTACGTAATATCTCTCGCTACTAGTATTTTTGTTGCCATTATTCCCTTCCCACACCATATTTCTTTTCTTTTTCAGAATCAATGCATCATTCCTCAAGCATAGTAGCAACGTATTTGGTCAATGGTTCTCTGTACTAAAAAGTCCAAAGTATATTAGTGTCCTTCACTTGACACTTAGTAGATACCACCTTGCATCATTCTTTATCCTTGTATCATCAATAGCAGCCAATATTGAATATTTAGTAGGTGAGGCACACAGAGGGGAAGGAGCATCCATTTTCCAAGGCACTATTAATTTCAAATAGGCTACCTACATTTTCAGATAATGTATTCCAACTTTTAGTTTGGAAAATATGGTCACCATAGGTGAAAAAATCATACATGAAACTATCATACATAAAAAGTATATACAGTATATAATTAGATTGGCAAAACTCAGTGCTAGAGACAAAATGAACTTAAAGGGCTGGAGGAGTTTTTTGTTATTTTTTTTTTAAAGATGGGCCAGGCCAGCGCGGTGGCTCAAGCCTGTAATCCCAGCACTTTGGGAGGCCAAGGCTGGCAGATCACGAGGTCAGGAGATCGAGACCATCCTGGCTAACACGGTGAAACTCCGTGTCTACTAAAAATACAAAAAATTAGCCGCACATGGTGGCGGGCGTCTGTAGTCCCAGCTATTTGGGAGCCTGAGGCAGGAGAATGGCGTGAACCCGGGAAGCAGAGATCGTGCCATTGCACTCCAGCCTGGGCGACAGAATGAGACTCCGTCTCAAAAAAAATAAAAAAGAAAAAAGAAAAAAGAAAAAAAATAAAAGATAGGCCAGTCTGACCCAAAGCAACTAGAGGAGTTTCACAAAGAAAAGACATCTGAGCTGGTCCCTGACAGTTGAGTCATCTCTGGATACAGTAGAGATGAAAATGGGAGTGAGGTTTCTCATCTGAGCAGGTTTAAGCACCCATTTATATGACTGTCAAATATTGCTCAACAGCATCTTACAACATCAGTCAATTCCTTGGCACCTATAATAGATTCTGATGTCAATTGTTAGAAGGCCCTGCCTAATAAATCAGAGGTTTACCCCTTGGTTCCACATCCCATGTTGCTAGCTCATTCCCTGGCCTCATTTTACTGGGCTTCCTGAGATGGTCCAGTTACATTAGTCAATCAGAAGTTAACCAAAATGGCTTAATTGTTGGAATGGACTGGAGATACTCCAGCCTGAGAGAGAAAAGAATTCCAGTCGGTGATGCAATATGATCTTAACTCTCAAAGGCTAAACTAATTCAACATTTTTCTTCTTCATCTCCAAATTGTCGGGGATGATTATATAGAGATAACCTATAATAGACAATGTTGACATAAACCAATGTGTAGATCATTTCAAAATAGTAAATGAAAATAAGATAAATACAGATGGGAATCAAATATATAGATAAAACAATTACACCATGTGCATACTCAGGCCCATTAACAGGGAGGTGAGCAGGGAAAGGCAAGGAAGTTTCATGTTGACACAGAGGAGGTTGGTACAATTTATTGGGTTTCTTTTGAGTAGCCTAGGAAAACTTGGAGGAGTTAGGATATTAAAAACTGCTTACATGGAGTCGAGTAAGGTAGGGAAAAGGAAAGGAAGCTTGAGCTAAAGCTTGTGAACAGGAATAAGAAAATTTGGATGGGGCTTTAGAGGATCTGATAAACAAGCTTCCCTTTATATCTGTTTGTTGGTTTCTTTTATTTCTAGTGCCTCTTAAAATGAGCGTGTTCAAAGCCCTGAATCACCAAACAGCTAGTAAAAATTCAGGAATTTGTGAGAGCTATAAAAATTAAGTAGCATTATTATTACTAGAATTATGATTAATATGTAGACATATAAACAGACAAATAAGTAGAATTGCTAAAACAAATGTTGCAATCCAAAGATGTCATAGAGATGGCCAGTTAGCATCTTGAAGGTTTCCTATGTATTTCAGGCATCTTGTTATTTGCATATATGTTACAGGCATTATGAACAATTTCTAGGAATGACTTATGAACATTATACATATTGTCTAGGAATTGTTTAAAATTCCTGATTTAACATTCTGCCTATAACATAAATACTAGTTAAAAGGCAAGGAACTTGATCATACACTGGCATCAAATCAGAAGGCACTATTTCTGCAGGCCTGACATATAACCAGATAATTGATTATCTATAAAAAATGTAATACAGCATAGGTAATAGCCAAATAACTATACTGTATTTTTTAAGACGCATGTGTAGAAGACTACATAAAGTAAATGAAAGAATGTAAGTGCAAAGAAAATTTTGATTCAGTCCTTTTTAAAGAAAGTTATAAAACTTCTTATTGAGTTGTACAACCATAAGTCCAAACATATGATACATATTTAAAAATCTAACATTTTACAACGTGAAATACCAACATGATGGCTATATTGAAAGTAAGAACATGCTTCCTTCTGGCAATGAGCCCAAGATATCACTGCTTGGCTGTTGTTAACAAAGATGATGATGATGGCTGGTGATGGCTATAGCATATCTCTGGATTAGGAGCTGATTAGATTAGCTTAGTGCCTTCAGAGACTAATATCATGTCCCTTGTGGACGAGTTTGCATATGCCATGTTCCATTCACAGATTAAGACTGGTTTAGGCCAGCTAGCTTGCAAATACATGCCATAGGGTTTTGTTTTCAAGTGTGGGAACTGAAACCCAGAGATCTACAGTGGCTTGAGCTAGGGCACATAGCAAACTAATGAAGGGAAGAAGAGCTTCGTTCTCAGATGAGGAAAATCAAATATCAGGTCCCTGCATGCTCTGGCATTTACCCTTTTCCAAGCTAAAATTGCAGTCCTGGAATCTTTCTCCATGGTCTGACCACCTTCTTCTTAGGCTAGAAAATCATGACCCTGAGGCCCTCTTCAACTCTCCATCTAATTTGGGAATAGCCCCCACTGCCTGTATTAGAAATAGCAGCAGCAACAGTACTACTACTACTACATAGCATGCAGTATGGTGACCCTTTATATGTGATATCTCTTTTAGTTCCTTTCACAAACCCATCAAGTAAGCAATGTTATTATCTTAATTTTATAAATAAAGAAACTGAGGTTTGAAGAAGTTAAGTCACCCAGTTAGTCAGGGATCTAAGCCTTTACCTGCCCAACTCTGAAGCCCAGACTCTGAAGTACAACAATATGTTTCTTTCTCAGCATTGTGTACTGCTCTCTGCCACATCCTTCTCCTAACCCACAATAAACCTGCAAGAAAAATCTGAAGAGCCATCATAATTCAAACTTTAAAGTGATTTGGTATCACTTACAGCACTCAATAATAATGGCTGAAAAGCAACACAATCCTAGAGAATGACCATCTGTTTTAAGAGCTTAAGTGGGTATGTTTTTCTGGAATATCCCCTTAGAAATGTTTTTTGAACATTTGTTCAAACAAGTTGAAGTCTGGACACCCTCTGATGCCTTTCTCAACTGGTTAAATGCCAAGTATGACATAATCTTTCTGCATGTGGTTTGAGTTAGGTGGAAGTATTGTACGTGCCTGAGACACTGGGCAAGCCCTCCAGAGATGCTTCTAGATCCAGCCAAGAAGGCCCACTGAGGAGATGGCAGCCCTAGAATGATGGGGCTGAGATCAGTAATAGGCTGAGTAATCCTATAAGCCCCATTTAGGGGGCATCCTTCACCTGACAACTAGGACATTTGTGTTCTCCTAGTATTTAGGATATTCTCTCATCTTTGGGACAGGTCCCAGAAATGCCCAGTGGACTTTTCTTGCCTTGTGACTTAAGAGTTTCAGGGGCTCTGACCTTAAACCACTAGGCCAGCATTGCTGTGGCCTTACTTTCCTGCCACAAGTCACCTGAGCTCCACCTGCTGTACCATGAAATCATTAGGGAACTGATTAATGTCTTTAAAAGGTGCCTCCTAGTGCACATAACTGGAAGGTACTACAATCCCAGACAGTTTTACAGTTTTGGCAGAATGGAAATATTCTCTGTGGATAGATTGAATGTCACCTCTTGGCAAGGGTTTGTGGGAGATGGCTGCAGGGCCCTTCAGCAAAGCTGCCATGTGGCCAAGTCCATGTGATTGATGGGAACATGACTGTGGGAAGAGGCCAATGCTGGTAATGATGGGAGATACTTAAACCTAAGGGAAATCCCTGAATCCCCAACATCTGTGAGATGGATCAGATGAGGCTAGAGGACAAAAAGCAACAGAAAAACATTCAGCTGATATAAGTATCTAATAAAAGAAGCAAAGAAGATTAAATCTTATGGGGTTGTTGTCATAGGAAAATTATAGGTGTCAGGTCTGTTTTAACGTTCAAATTAGCAGGTAAAATATACAATGGGAGTGTTTCAAAGTTTGACACTAATGTAAGTACGGGAGAATCTTTCACTAGGCTACTTTGTACTTCTGAAATTGCCTCCAACTATTCCAGGAAATTGCACAAGTTGATGCTGTTCCTTGTAACTGAGAATGCTATTCTTTCTCTACCTCCCTCTATGCAAAATGCACCCATACCACTGAAAATTGACAATGTAATCTCCCCATACACTTGGTCTAATACTAAGGGTAGAAAAAGAAACTAAGCTAAAGGCTTCTGCAGATTTTTATTGATTGAAGATGACAAGGTTTAAAGGGAATGGATGAGATATGTTAATATAGTATTTAGAATGGGAAGTCATGAAGGCCTAAATGAGAGTGGTGGCAGTAAGTATGGAAAGGGGTTGCTGATTGTGAGAAAGATTATAAAGGAATATCCATAGAACTTGGCAACTGACTGGATTTAGCAGGGCAATGGAAGATTCAGAGATATTGCCAAGATTATTATTCTTAGTGATCAGGAAAAAATAGTGGTGCCAGTAACAGAAGGAAAGGGGTCTGGGAGGGAAGATAAATGAGTTTGAGGTGTCAAATCGAGAGATAGAACAGGCACTGTGAAATTCTGAGGATAGAGATTTGGGCTAAAGATAAAATTTCAGGCAGGCATCACTTGCGCAATCCTTCACCTAAGTCCAAACCTGCTAATTTCCAGTCCCTACAAGTGAAGACCACATACAAAGGCTATTTGAAACTTCCAGCTTCTCCCTGTTTGTTGCTAGTCCTCCCCACTTCCCAAATTTTTCTGCTCTCTAATTATCTTCAGAACCTTACAGTGGAGAAACCTAGTTGACCTCTTTGTCTACTCCAAGCATTTATTGTAAATGTATAATTTTAAGACTGGTTCTTCATATTCCCAAGCACATGTCATTTATGAGTAATAAGTGATCCATACTGATTACATTGATCAAACTTTCAATTGCTTTGATAATTATTTATACTGATAAAGAAATTGATATACATGAGGAAAACCTAGAAAGAAAAGATCAGATAAGTGCTACAGAATTATGGCGACTCTAGTTTCTGAAGCAAAAATTGTTCATTGACTCCTGTTGAAAAAAAAAAAAACTTTGATATTCTGAAGTCCTTTTTGATTGAATGGGGCAATTTTGGAGATGTAATTGGAATGGTGAAACATTGCAATTTTCCAGATATTTGGATTGTTTCTAGGGACAAAAGGACAGAGTATTTATCCTGGAAACTCTGGGAAGTGCATAGAGTAGAAAACTAGTAACACAAAGCATACCTCTTTATTTTTTCTTCCTTAGACGGAATCTCACTCTGTCGCCCAGGCTGCAGTACAGTGGCACCATGTCTGTTCACTGCAAGTTTCACCTCCCAGCTTCATGCCGTTGTCCTGCCTCAGCCTCCTGAGTAGCTGGGACTACAGGCGCCCGCCACCACACCTGGCTAATTTTTTTATATTTTTAGTAGAGACGGGGTTTCACCGTGTTAACCAGGATGGTCTCGATCTCCTGACCTAGTGATTAGCCTGCCTCAGCCTCCCAAAGTGCTGGGATTACAGTCGTGAGCCACTGCACCCGGCCACATACCTCATGTTTTTGTACTCTAAAATTGTTTATTAAAATTATTCTATATTATATAACTTCCAGGTTAGGATGCCTAACAGTCTTGATATTTGCTTCCTCTCTAAAGAACTTGAGGACACAAAAGTATCGAAGGTCAGAGTGAGTCAGAACCTTGGAGATCAATAAATTGAACCACTTTTTTCCATATAAAGAAACTGAGGACCAGACCTAAGAAATGGCTTGCCAAAGGTTACACAGCAAGTCAATGGCAGAACTAGGACTAGAATCCAGGTATCCTGATCTCCAAACTTCCATTTGGGCAACAGCCCCTCCTCTCCTTCTTCACATCTCCTTCCTGCCCTTGGCCTTGGAAATCCCTAGAGAAATGGGGCTCGCCATTAAGAGGACACAGTGCAAAAGTATGGAGCCCCCAATGCCCATCATCTCAAATTTCCGTGCTATATAGCAGCATCACTCCCTCCCCTCACCCAAGTATCTTTTCCTCTTCTCAGCTGAAACATCTACACCTCTGTTACAGCAAGTGTCTTAGCGTCAAATGGGACATCAAGGGGAAACACAGGTGAAACCTGGGTACCTGTTATTCCCAGAATTTCATTCTCAGATGCCTAAAACTTAAGACCTTTGCACACATCCATCCTGCTGAAATGTCAGCACACTTCCTGCTTTCCATGTTTTCCTGCTTTCCATGATTTTTTTTTTTTTTAAATTGTTGAAAAGACCAAACCTCCTGCTCAGGGGCAGAGACTCACTACTGGGAGAAAAAGTATTGATGGGCATATCTCATTCCTTAAAGTTTGTTAAACTCCTTCCCTATGGTAAAGAAAGAAAATAATATTACATTTGTATATGCTACAAGAAGTGACTTGATCAAAATCAATACAACAGAAGACTTAGAACCCAAAATTTACACTTCCCATGAAAAAGATCCATTTTCTGTTTTGTACTGCCTCCCAAGGCTGTTAGAGAAATTAGTGGTCAGAAATGGAGCAGGGGTGGACCCCATTCCCTCATGTATGGTTTCTTTATGTGGAGCAAGCTTCTATAGTTCTATTCATCATGCATGACACTTTAAAATTTTCCCCTCTGAGACTATTAGCTTGTAAGCTGCTTAAAGAAGGACCCATAGGCTGGCAGCCAAGATGGCTGAATAGCAACAGCTCTGGTCTACAGCTCACAGCATGAGCGATGCGGAAGACGGGTGATTTCTGCATTTCCATCTGAGGTACTGGGTTCATCTCACTAGGGAGTGCCAGACAGTGGGTGCAGGACAGTGGGTGCAGTGCACTGTGCACGAGCTGAAGCACGGCGAGACATTGCCTTACTTGGGAAGTGCAAGGGGTCAGGGAGTTCCCTTTCCTATTCAAAGAAAGGGGTGACAGACAGCACCTGGGAAATTGGGTCACTCCCACCCTAATACTGCACTTTTCCAATGGGCTTAAAAAATGATGCACCAGGAGATTATATCGCGCACCTGGCTCAGAGAGTCCTACACTCATGGAGTCTCGCTGATTGCTAGCACAGCAGTCTGAGATCAAACTGCAAGGCGGTAGCGAGGTTGGGGGAGGGGCGCCCGCCATTGCCAAGGCTTCCTTAGGTAAACAAAGCAGCCAGGAAGCTTAAACTGGGTGGAGCCCACCACAGCTCAAGGAGATCTGCCTGCCTGCCTCTGTAGGCTCCACCACTGGGGGCAGGGCACAGACAAACAAAAAGACAGCCATAACCTCTGCAGACTTAAATGTCCCTGACTGACAGCTTTGAAGAGAGCAGTGGTTCTCCCAGCATGCAGCTGGAGATCTGAGAATGGGCAGACAGCCTCCTCAAGTGGGTCCCTGACCCCTGAACCCGAGTAGCCTAACTGGGAGGCACCCCCCAGTAGGGGCAGACTGACACCTCATACGGCCATGTACTCCTCTGAGACAAAATTTCCAGAGGAATGATCAGACAGCAGCATTTGCGGTTCATGAAAATTCGCTGTTCTGCAGGCACCGCTGCTGATACCCAGGCAAACAGGGTCTGGAGTGGACCTCTAGCAAACTCCAACAGACCTGCAGCTGAGGGTCCTGTCTGTTAGAAGGAAAATTAACAAACAGAAAGGACATCCACACCAAAAACCCATCTATACATCACCATCATCAAAGACCAAAAGTAGATAAAACCACAAAGATGGGGAAAAAACAGAGCAGAAAAACTGGAAACTCTAAAAAGCAGAGCAACTCTCCTCCTCCAAAGGAATGCAGCTCCTCACGAGCAATGGAACAAAGCTGGATGGAGAATGACTTTGACAAGTTGAGAGAAGAAGGCTTCAGACGATCAAACGAATCCGAGCCACAGGAGGAAATTCAAACCAAAGGCAAAGAAGTTAAAAACTTTGAAAAAAATTAAGACGACTGTATAACTAGAATAACCAATACAGAGAAGTGCTTAAAGGAGCCAATGGAGCTGAAAGCCAAGGCTCAAGAACTACGTGAAGAATGCAGAAGCCTCAGGAGCCGATGCGATCAACTGGAAGAAAGGGTATCAGTGATGGAAGATGAAATGAATGAAATGAAGTGAGAAGGGAACTTTAGAGAAAAAGGAATAAAAAGAAACGAACAAAGCCTCCAAGAAATATATAGGACTATGTAAAAAGACCAAATCTATGTCTGATTGGTGTACCTGAAAGTGACGGGGATAATGGAACCAAGTTGGAAAACACTCTGCAGGATATTATCCAGGAGAACTTCCCCAATCTAGCAAGGCAGGCCAACATTCAGATTCAGGAAATACAGAGAACACCACAAAGATACCCCTCAAGAAGAGCAACTCCAAGACACAAAATTGTCAGATTTACCAAAGTTGAAATGGAGAAAAAAATGTTAAGGGCAGCCAGAGAGAAAGCTCGAGTTACCCACAAAGGGAAGTCCATCAGACTAACAGCGGATCTCTCGGCAGAAACTCTATAAGCCAGAAGAGAGTGGGGGCCAATATTCAACATTCTTAAAGAAAAGAATTTTCAACCCAGAATTTCATATCCAGCCAAACTAAGCTTCATAAGTGAAGGAGAAATAAAATACTTTACAGACAAGCAAATGCTGAGAGATTTTGTCACCACCAGGCCTGCCCTAAAAGACCTCCTGAAGGAAGCACTAAACATGGAAAGGAAAAACCAGTACCAGCCACTGCAAAATCATGCCAAATTGTAAAGACCATCAAGGCTAGGAAGAAACTGCATCAACTAACGAGCAAAATAACCAGCTAACATCATAATGACAGGATCAAATTCACACATAACAGTATTAACTTTAAATGTAAATGGACTAAATGCTCCAATTAAAAGACACAGACTGGCAATTTGGATAAAGAGTCAAGACCCATCAGTGTGCTGTATTCAGGAAACCCATCTCATGTGCAGAGACACACACAGGCTCAAAATAAAAGGATGGAGGAAGATCTACCAAGCAAAAGGAAAACAAAAAAGACAGGGGTTGCAATCCTAGTCTCTGATAAAACAGACTTTAAACCAACAAAGATCAAAAGAGACAAAGAAGGCCATTACAAAATGGTAAAGCGATCAATTCGACAAGAAGAGCTGACTATCCTAAATATATATGCACACAATACAGGAGCACCCAGATTCATAAAGCAAGCCCTCAGTGACCTACAAAGAGACTTAGACACCCACACAATAATGAGGGAGACTTTAACACCCCACTGTCAATATTAGACAGATCAATGAGACAGAAAGTTAACAAGGATATCCACGAATTGAACTCAGCTCTGCACAAAGTGGAACTAATAGGCATCTACAGAACTCTCCACCCCAAATCAACAGAATATACATTTTTTTCAGCACCACACCACACCTATTCCAAAATTGACCACATAGTTGGAAGTAAAGCTCTCCTCAGCAAATGTAAAAGAACAGAAATTATAACAAACTGTCAGACCACAGTGCAATCAAACTAGAACTCAGGATTAAGAAACTCACTCAAAATCACTCAACTACATGGAAACTGAACAACCTACTCCTGAATGACTATTGGGTACATATTGAAATGATGGCAGAAATAAAGATGTTCTTTGAAACCAACGAGAACAAAGACACAACATAGCAGAATCTCTGGGACACATTCAAAGCAGTGTGTAGAGGGAAATTAATACCACTAAATGCCCACAAGAGAAAGCAAGAAAGATCCAAAATTGACACGCTAACATCACCATTAAAAGAACTAGAAAAGCAAGAGCAAACACATTCAAAAGCTAGCAGAAGGCAAGAAATAACTAAAATCAGAGCAGAACTGAAGGAGATAGAGACACAAAAAACCCTTCAAAAAATTAATGAATCCAGGAGCTGGTTTTCTGAAAGGGTCAAAAAAATTGATAGACCATTAGCAAGACTAATAAAGAAGAAAAGAGAGAAGAATCAAATAGACGCAATAAAAAATGATAAAAGGGATATCACCACCAATCCCACAGAAATACAAACTACCATCAGAGAACACTACAAACACCTCTATGCTAATAAACTAGAAAATCTAGAAGAAATGGATAAATTCTTTGACACATACACCCTCCCAAGATTAAACCAGGAAGAAGTTGAATCTCTGAATAGACCAATAACAGGCTCTGAAATTGTGGCAATAATCAATAGCTTACCAACAAAAAGAGTCCAGGACCTGATGGATTCACAGCCGAATTCTACAAGAGATACAAGGAGGAGCTGGTACCATTCCTTCTGAAATTTTTCCAATCAACAGAAAAAGAGGGAATCCTCCCTAATTCATTTTATGAGGCCAGCATCATCCTGATACCAAAGCTGGGCAGAGACACAACCAAAAAAGAGAATTTTAGACCACTGTCCTTGATGAACATTGACGCAAAAATCCTCAATAAAATACTGGCAAACCGTATTCAGCTGCACATCAAAAAGCTTATCCACCATGATCAAGTGGGCGTCATCCCTGGGATGCAAGGCTGGTTCAACATACACCAATCAATAAATGTAATCCAGCATATAAAGAGAACTAAAGACAAAAACCACATGATTATCTCAATAGATGCAGAAAAGGCCTTTTAAAAATTCAACAACTCTTCATGCTAAAAACTCTCAATAAATTAGGTATTGATGGGTCGTATCTCAAAATAATAAGAGCTATCTATGACAAACCCACAACCAATATCATACTGAAAGGGCAAAAACTGGAAGCATTCCCTTTGAAAACTGGCACAAGACCGGGATGCCCTTTCTCACCACTCCTATTCAACATAGTGTTGGAATTTCTGGCCAGGGCAATCAGGCAGGAGAAGGAAATAAAGGGTATTCAATTAGGAAAAGAGGAAGTCAAATTGTTCTTGTTTGCAGATGACATGATTGTATATCTAGAAAACCCCATTGTCTCAGCCCAAAATCTCCTTAAGATGATAGGCAACTTCAGCAAAGTCTCAGGATACAAAATCAATGTACAAAAATCACAAGCATTCTTATACACCAACAACAGACAAACAGAGATCAAAATCATGAGGAAACTCCCATTCACAATTGCTTCAAACACAATAAAATACCTAGGAATCCAACTTACAAGGGACACGAAGGACCTCTTCAAGGAGAACTACAAACCACTGCTCAATGAAATAAAAGAGGATACAAACAAATGGAAGAACATTCCATGCTCATGGGTAGGAATAATCAATATTGTGAAAATGGCCATACGGACCAAGGTTATTTATAGATTCAATACCATCCCCATCAAGCTACCAATGACTTTCTTCATAGACTTGGAAAAAACTACTTTAAAGTTCACATGGAACCAAAAAAGAGCCCGCATCGCCAAGTCAATCCTAAGCCAAAAAACAAAGCTGGAGGCATCACGCTACCTGACTTCAAACTATACTACAAGACTACAGTAACCAAAACAGCATGATACTGGTACCAAAACAGAGATATATATCAATGGAACAGAACAGAGCCCTCAGAAATAACGCTGCATATCTACAACTATCTGATCTTTGACATACCTGAGAAAAACAAGAAATGGGGAAAGGATTCCCTATTTAATAAATGGTGCTGGGAAAACTGGCTAGCCAGATGTAGAAAGCTGAAACTGGATCCCTTCCTTACACCTTATACAAAAATCAATTCAAGTTGGATTAAAGACTTAAACGTTAGACCTAAAACCATAAAAACCCTAGAAGAAAACTTAGGCATTACCATTCAGGACATAGGCATGGGCAAGGTCTTCATGTCTAAAACACCAAAAGCAATGGCAACAAAAGCCAAAATTGACAAATGAGATCTAATTAAACTAAAGAGCTTCTACACAGCAAAAGAAACTACCATCAGAGTGAACTAGCAACCTACAAAATGGGAGAAAATTTTTGCAATCTACTCATCTGACAAAGGGCTAATATCCAGAATCTACAATGAACTCAAACAAATTTACAAGAAAAAAATAAACAACCCCATCAAAAAGTGGGTGAAGGAAATGAGCAGACACTTCTTAAAAGAAGACATTTATGCAGCCAAAAAGCACATGAAAAAATGCTCATCATCACTGGCCATCAGAGAAGTGCAAATCAAAACGACAGTGAGATACCATCTCACACCAGTTAGAATGGCGATGATTAAAAAATCAGGAAACAACAGATGTGGAGAGGATGTGGGAAATAGTAACACTTTTACACTGTTGGTGGGACTGTAAACTAGTTCAACCATTTTGGAAGTCAGTGTGGCGATTCCTCAGGGATCTAGAACTTGAAATACCATTTGACCCAGCCATCCCATTACTGGGTATATACCCAAAGGATTACAAATCATGTTGCTATAAAGACACATGCACACATATGTTTAGTGTGGCACTATTCACAATAGCAAAGACTTGGAACCAACTCAAGTGTCCAAAAATGATAGACTGGATTAAGAAAATGTGGCACATATACACCATGGAATACTATGCAGCCATAAAAAGTGATGAGTTCATGTCCTTTGTAGGGACATGGACAAAATTGGAAATCATCATTCTCAGCAAACTATAGCAAGGACAAAAAACCAAACACTGCATGTTCTCACTCATAGGTGGGAATTGAACAATGAGAACACATGGACACAGGAAGGGGAACATCACACTCTGGGGACTGTTGTGGGGTCGGGGGAGGGGGGAGGGATAGCATTAGGAGATACACCTAATGCTAAATGACGAGTTAATGGGTGCAGCACACCAGCATGGCAGATGTATACATATGTAACTAACCTGCACATTTTGCACATGTACCGTAAAACTTAAAGTAGAATAATAATAAAATTAAAAAATAAAAAAAAGAGAAGGAACTGTAGAGCCAGACATGGTGGTACATGCCTGTATTCCTAGCTACTCAGGAGGATGAGGCAGGAGGAACTCTTGAGCCCAGAAGTTCAAGGTTGCAGTGTACTGCGATAGTGCCTGTGAATAGCTGCTGAACTACAGCCTGGAAAGCAATAGAGAGACTTACATTCCCAAAATTTTGAAAAAAGAGAAAGGCCTGTATAGATTCATCTGTCTATCTCTGGGGCCTAGCATGTGGCCATCAAATACGATGCAATCACTCAAATACATGTATATGACACTCTACTAAAAGAGTGATAAAAGAGTGAATGTAATAGAAGATTAGAATGCAATAGGAAGCCAGAGCAAGAATATTGAGGGCTTGAAATGAAGCTCCTCGAATCTATAATTTCTGACATAGGCTATGACTCTACACCTTTGTGTGCCATGCAAAACCGAACAACTTCAACATTGGGGTAACTCCCCACAATGTAGAAACTTTGAAAACCGTTCCTCCTTTAGTTCAGTGCCTGTATATTAAGTATTCAGCCTTTCTTAAAAAATATATTTGAGGAACTCATCGTTCCCAGGCACTCACTCCAATATGTTGCAAGCAATTTGATTGAAGTATTGCATATATCTTGGGCTTCAGACCAAGTGTGAGGAATTATACTCCATCAGAAAAATCATTGAGGCAGCTTAAAGTAATGGAAACTGGTGCTTTGGATTAAACCTGTCTCTTTCCATCTCTGTTTTTGGTGCCTGGATAATGCCTCTTGGGGGGAAAAAAGCAGAGAGTATATAGTTTGAATACCTTGGAGTTAAAGAGGGAAGAATGGCAAAATGGAGAGGAGGTTGAACAAAATATGTTCTAGTCTTTAATTCGGGTCCTAAATGAGACCTAAAGAGCAACATACAAATAAAATCTTCAAACCAGGGGCACCCCACATGTCAGTATATTCCACTGCCACCGCCCAAGCTTAGAAGATCTGCTCTTTAGACTGTAATACAACTCAGATTGAGCAAAATACCATGTACTCGATGGCTTAAACAACAAATACTTGTTTTCTCATGGTTCTGGAGTCTAGAAGTCCAAGGTCAAGATGTCAGGGTTGATTTTGCATAAGGACTATCTTCCTGGCTTATAAATATCACCTTCTCACTGTGTTCTCACACGGCCTTTCCTCTGTGCACGCACGAAGAGAAAGAGAGCAACCTCTGGTTTCTCTTCCTCTTCTTATAATGACACCAGGGGGGCATTAGGGCCCCACCATTATGACCTCATTTAACCTTAATTATATCCCTAAAGGTTCTATCTCCGAATACAGTCACACTGAGGTTACAGCTTCAACATATGAATTTGGGGATTGAGGAGATATAATTCAGTTCGTAACAGTATTATTAACCATACTTCGCTGATTAAAAGATAAACTGAATCTCAAAGAGGTTTAGTGATTTTCACATACTAGTAAGTAATAGAAGTCAAGACTAGAACTCAGAACTGTTAGCCCCTGGTCTTGCGTTCTTTGTATTATATTATGTTGCCTTATAAAATGAGTTAAGAATTGCTCCTTCTGTTTCTATTTTTTATTTGGGAGAATTTGTAGATAATTGGTTAAAAAAATATTTAAGGGTTTGGCAGAATTCACCAGTGAACCTATCTGGGTCTGATACTTTCTGTTTGGGAAGGTTATTAATTATTAATTCAATTTATTTAATAGACACATGCCTATTAAGATTATCTATTTCTCCTTGTGTGAGTTTTGGTAGATTTTTGTCTTTCAATGAATTGTCCCATTTCAAATAGGTTATCAAATTTGTGGTCATAGAGCTGTTCATAATATTCCTTGGTTACCCTATTAATATTTATGGGATTAATAGTAATGGTACCTGTTTCATTTTAGATATTTTCTCTCTTTCTCTCTCTCTCTTTTTTTTTTTTTTTTGAGATGGAGTCTCACTCTGTCGCCCAGGCTGGAGTACAGTGGCACAATCGTGGCTCACTGCAACTTCCACCTCCCGGGTTCAAGAGATTCTCCTGCCTCAGCCTCCTGAGTAGCTGGGATTACAGGCGTGCACCACCAAACCTGGCTAATTTGTAAATTTTTAGTAGAGACAGGGTTTCACCATGTTGATCAGGCTGGTCTCGAACCCCTGACCTCGTGATCCACCCACCTCAGCCTCCCAAGGTGCTGGGATTGCAGGCGTGAGCCACCGAACCCGGCCTTCTCTCTTTTTTCTCAGCTAACCTCACTAGAGGTTTATCAATTTTGTTAATCTTTTCAAAGAAACATTTAGCTTTATTGATATTCTCTGTTGATTTCTACTCTTTTATTATTTTATTGCTTATGGTTCTTTGGACTAAACCTAATCATTTTATAGTCTTTTAAGGTGGAAGCTCAGATGACTAATTTTAGATCATTATTTTCTAATATACACATTAAGTGCCATACATTTCCCTCTAATGACTGCCTTGGCTGTATGCAACAAAACTTGATGTGCTATATTTTCATCTTAATCTGATGCAAAATATTTTTAAATTTCTCAGAGCTCTTATTCTCCAGAGCTCTTATTCAACCTATGTGTTATTTAGAAGTGTTTTGTTCTAGATCCTTGAGGAATCACCACACTGTCTTCCACAGTGGTTGAACTAATTTACACTCCCACCAACAGTGTAAAAGCATTCCTATTTCTCCACATCCACTCCAGCATCTGTTGTTTCATGACTTTTACACAAAGAATTACAAATCATTCTATTATAAAGACACATGCACACGTGTGTTTATTGCAGGACTATTCACAACAGCAAAGAGTTGGAACCAACCCCAAAGCCCATCAATGATAGACTGGATAAAGAAAATGTGGCACATATTCACCATGGAATACTATGCAGCCATAAAAAAGGATGAGTTCATGTCCCTTGCAGGGACATGGATGAACCCAGAAACCATCATTCTCAGCACATTAACACAGGATCAGAAAATCAAACACATGTTCTCACTCATAAGTGGGAGTTGAACAATGAGAACACATGGACGCAAGGAGGGGAACATCACACACTGGGGCATGTTGGGGGGTGGGGGTCTAGAGGAGGGATAACATTAGGAGAAAAACCTAACGTAGATGATGGGTTGATGGGTGCAACAAACCACCATGGCATGTGTATACCTATGTAACAAACCTGCATGTTCTGCACATGTATCTCAGAACTTAAAGTATAATAACAAGTAGAAGTGAGTTGTTTAATCTCTAAGTATTTTGAAGTTTTCTATCATTCTGTTATTTATTTCTAGTTTGATTCTATTATTATCTAAGAGAAGACATTGTATAATTTATATATTTTTTAAGTTTGTTATGGTGCCTTTTATGCCTGAAGTGTGACCAAATGTGAGCTAGAGAAGAAAGTATATTCAAGGTGGCTGGCAAGATGACCGAATAGGAACAGCTTTGGTCTGCAGCACCCAATGAGATCAACTCAGAAGGCAGGTGATTTCTGCACTTCCAACTGAGGTATCTGGCTCATCTCATTGGGACTGGTTAGACAGTGGGTGCAGCCCATGGATGGCAAGCTGAAGCAGGGTTGGGTGTTGCCTTACCCAGGAAGTGCAAGGGGTTGTGGAACTCTCTCCCCTTGCCAAGGGAAGCTGTGAGAGACTGTGCCAGGAGGAACAGCACATTCTGGCCCAGATACTATGCATTTCCCATGGTTTTCACAACCTGTAGACCAGGAGATTACCTCAGGTGCCTATGCCACCAGGGTCCTGGGTTTCAAGCATAAAACTGGGTGGCCTTTTGGGAAGACACTGAGCTAGCTGCAGGAGTTTGTTTCATAACCCAATGGCCCCTTGAATGCCAGTGAAACAGAACTGTTCACTCCCCTGGAAAGGGAGCTGAAGCCAGGGAGCCAAGTGGTCTAGCTCAGCGGATCCCACCCCCACAAAGCCCACCAAGCTAAGATCCACTGGCTTGAAATTCTTGCTGCCAGCACAACAGTCTGAAGTCAACTTGGGACACTCAAGGTTGGTGTGGGGAGGGGCATCTGCCATTACTGAGGCTTGAGTAGGCTGTTTTCCCCTCACAGTGTACACAAAGCCACCAGGAGTTTTGAACTGGGCAGAGCCCACTGCAGCTCCACAAAGCCACTGTAGCCAGACTACCTCTCCAGATTCCTCCTCTCTGGGCAGGGCATCTCTGAAAGAAAGGCAGCAGCCCCTGTCAGGGGCTTATAAATGAAACTCCCATCTCGCTGGGACAGATCACCTGTGTGAAGGGTCGGCTATGGGTGCAGCTTCAGGAGACTTAAATATTCCTGCCAGCTGGCTCTGAGGAGAGCAGCAGATCTCCCAGCACAGCATTTGAGCTCTGCTAAGGGACAGACTGCCTCCTCAAGTGGGTCCCTGACCCTTGTGCCTCCTGACTGGGAGACACCTCCCAGCAGGGGTTGACAGACACTTCATACAGGAGAGCTCTAGCTGGCAACTGGTGGGTGCCCCTCTGGGACAAAGTTTCCAGAGGAAGAAACAGGCAGGAATCTTTGCTGTTCTGCAGCATCTGCTGGTGATACCAAAGTAAACAGGGTCTGGAGTACACCTCCAGCAAACTCCAGCAGACCTAGAGCAGAGAGGCCTGACTGTTAGAAGGAAAACTAACAAACAGAAAAGAATAGCATCAACATCAACAAAAAGGACGTTCATACAGAAACCCCATTCGAAGGTCACCAACATCAAAGACCAAAGGTAGATAAATCCACAAAGATGATGAAAAACCAGTGCAAAAGACTGAAAATCCCAAAAATCAGAATGCCTCTTCTCCTCCAAAAGATCACAACTCCTCTCTAGCAAGGACATAAAACTGAACAGAGAATGAGTTTGATGAATTGACAGAAGTAGGCTTCAGAAGGAAGGTAATGAGAAACTCCTCTGAGCTAAAGGAGCATGTTCTAAAAAAATGCAAGGAAGCTAAAAACCTTGAAAAAAGGTTAAAGGAATTGCTAACTGGAACAACAGTTTATTGAACATAAATGACCTGATGAAGCTGAAAGACACAGCACTAGAACTTCGTGAAGCATACACAAATATCCGTAACCGAATTGATCAAGCAGACAAAAAGATATCAGAGATGGAAGATCAACTTAATGAAATAAACTGTGAAGGCAAAATTAGAGAAAAAAAGAATGAAAAGGAATGAACCAAGCCTCCAGGAAATATGAGACTATGTGAAAAGACCAAATCTACATTTGATTGGTGTACCTGAAAGTGGCAGGGAGGATGGAACCAAGTTGGAAAATACTCTTCAGGATAAAATCCAGGAGAACTTCCCCAACCTAGCAAGACAGACCAACATTCGAATTCAAAAAATACAGAGAACACCCCAAAGATACTCCTTGACAAGAACAACCCCAAGACATATAATTTTCAGATTCACCAAGGTTGAAATGAAGGAAAAAATGTTAAGGGCAGCCAGGGAAAAAGGTCAGGTTACCCACAAAGGGAAGTCCATCAGATTAACAGTGGATTTCTCTGCAGAAACCCTAAAAGCCAGAAAAGAGTAATGGCCAATATTCAACATTCTTAAAAGAATTTTCAACCCAGAGTATCATATCCTGGCAAACTAAGCTTCATAAGCGAAGGAGAAATAAAATCCTTTACAGAGAAGCAAATGCTGAGAGATTTTTGTCACCACCAGGCCCACCTTACAAGAGGTCCAGAAGAAAGCTTTAAATTTGAATAGGAAAAACTGGTACCAGCCACTGAAAAAACACACCAAATTGTAAAGATCCTCGACACTATAAAGAAACTGCATCAACTAATGAGCAAAATAACCAGCTAGTATCATAATGACAGGATCAAATTCACATATAACAATATTAAACTTAAATGTAAACGTGCTAAATGCCCCAGTTAGAAGACACATACTGGCAAATTGGATTAAGAGTCAAGACCCATTGGTGTGCTTTGTTGAGGAGACCCATCTCACGTGCAGACACACATAGGCTAAAACCAAAGAAATGGAGGAATATTTACCAAGAAAATGGAAAGCGAAAAAAAAAAAGCAAGGACTGCAATCCTAGTCTCTGATAAAACAGACTTCAAACCAACAAAGATAACAAAGACAAAGAAGAGCATTACATAATGGTAAAGCAATCAGCACAATAAGAAGAGCTAACTATCTTAAATATATATGCACCCAATACAGGAGCACCCAGATTCATAAAGCAAGTCCTTAGAGACCTAGAAAGAGACTTAGACTCCCACATAATAATACTGGGAGATTTTAACACCCCACTGTTAATATTAGACAGATCAACAAGACAGAAAATTAGCAAGGATATTAAGGACTTCAACTCAGCTCTGGACCAAACAGTCCTAATAGACATCTACAGAACACTCCACCCCAAATCAATGTAATATACATTGTTCTCAACACCACATTGCACTTATTTTAAAATTGACCACATAATTGGAAGTAAAACACTCCTCAGCAAATGCAAAAGAATAGAAATCATAACAAACAGTCTCTCAGACCACAGTGCAATCAAATTAGAACCCAGGATTAAGAAACCCACTCAAAACCATAAAATTACGTGGAAACTGAACAATCTGCTCTTGAATGACTACTGGGTAAATAAAGAAATTACTGCAGAAATTAAGTTTCTTGAAATCAATGACAACAAAGACACAACATACCAGAATCTCTGGAACATATCTATAGCACTGTTTAGAGGGAAATTTATAGCACTAAATGCTCACATGAGAAAGCATGAAAGATCTAAAATCAACACCCTAACATCACAAATAAAAGAACTAGAGAAGCAAAAGCAACCAAATTCAAAATCTAGCAGAAGACAAGAAATAACTAAGATCAGAGCAGAAATGAAGGAGATAGAGACACCAAAATAACTTCAAAAACTAAATGAATCCAGGAGCTGTTTTTATGAAAGATTAACAAAGTAGATATACCCCTAGCCAGGCTAATAAAGAAGAAGAGAGAGAAGAATCAAATAGACAAAATAAAAATTGATAACGGGGGGATCACCACTGATTTCACAGAAATAAAAACTACCATCAGAGAATACTATAAACACCCCTAGGCAAATAAACTAGAAAATCTAGAAGAATTGGATATATTCCTGAAAACATACACCCTCCCAAGACTAAACTAGGAAAAAGTCGAATTCCTGAATAGACCAATAAAAAGTTCTGAAATTGAGGCAGTAATTAACAACCTACCAACCAGAAAAAGCCCAGGAGCAGACGGATTCACAGCCGAATTCTACCAGAGGTACAAAGAGGAGCTGGTACCATTTCCTTTTCTATTTTTTTATTATACTTTAAGTTTTAGGGTACACGTGCACAATGTGCAGGTTAGTTACATATGCATACATGTGCCATGTTGGTGTGCTGAACCCATTAACTCGTCATTTAACATTAGGTATATCTCCTAATGCTATCCCTCCCCCCTCCCCCCACCCCACAACAGGCCCCAGTGTGTGATGTTCCCCTTCCTGTGTCCATGTGTTCTCATTGTTCAATTCCCACCTATGAGTGAGAACATGCAGTGTTTGGTTTTTCATCCCTGCGATAGCTTGCTGAGAATGAAGGTTTCCAGCTTCATCCATGTCCCTACAAAGGACATGAACTCTTCATTTTTTATGGCTGCATAACATTCCATGGTGTATATGTGCCACATTTTCTTAATCCAGTCTATCATTGTTGGACATCTGGCTTGGTTCCAAGTCTTTGCTATTGTGAATAATGCCACAATAAACATATGTGTGCATGTGCCTTTATAGCAGCAAGATTTATAGCCCTTTGGGTATATATCCAGTAATGGGATGGCTGGGTGAAATGGTATTTCTAGTTCTAGATCCCTGAGGAATCGCCACACTGACTTCCACAATGGTTGAACTAGTTTACAGTCCCACCAACAGTGTAAAAGTGTTCCTATTTCTCCACATCCTCTCCAGCACCTGTAGTTTCCTGACTTTTTAATGATCATCATTCTAACTGGTGTGAGATGGTATCTCATTGTGGTTTTGATATGCATTTCTCTGATGGCCAGTGACGATCAACATTTTTCATGTGTCTTTTGGCTGCATAAATATCTTCTTTTAAGAAGTGTCTGCTCATATCCTTCACCCACTTGTTGATGGGGTTGTTTGTTTTTTTCTTGTAAATTTGTTGGAGTTCATTGCAGATTGTGGATATTAGCCCTTGGTCAGATGAGTAGATTGCAAAAATTTTCTCCCATTCTGTAGGTTGCCTGTTCACTCTGATGGTAGTTTCTTTTGCTGTGTAGAAGCTCTTTAGTTTAATTAGATCCCATTTGTCAATTTTGTCTTTTGTTGCCATTGCTTTTGGTGTTTTAGACATGAAGTCCTTGTCCATGCCTATGTCCTGAATGGTATTGCCTAGGTTTTCTTCTAGGGTTTTTATGGTTACACGTCTAACATTTAAGTCTTTAATCCGTGTTGAATTAATTTTTGTATAAGGTGTAACGAAGAGATCCAGTTTGAGCTTTCTACATCTGGCTAGCCAGTTTTCCCAGCACCATTTATTAAATAGGAAATCATTTCCCCATTTCTTGTTTTTGTCAGGTTTGTCAAAGATCAGATGTTTGTAGATATGCGGTGTTATTCCTGAGGGCTCTGTTCTGTTCCAGTGGTCTATATCTCTGTTTTGGTACCAGTACCATGCTGTTTTGATTACTGTAGCCTTGTAGTATAGCTTGAAGTCAGGTAGCATGATGCCTCCAGCGTTCTTCTTTTGGCTTAGGATTGACTTGGCGATGCAGGCTCTTTGTTGGTTCCATATGAACTTTAAAGTAGTTTTTTCCAACTGTGTGAAGAAAGTCATTGGTAGCTTGATAGGGATGGCATTGAATCTGTAAATTACCTTGGGCAGTATGGCCATTTTCACAATATTGATTCTTCCTACCCATGAGCATGGAATGTTCTTCCATTTCTTTGTATCCTCTTTTATTTCATTGAGCAGTGGTTTGTAGTTCTCCATGAAGAGGTCCTTCACATCCCTTGTAAGTTAGATTCCTAGGTATTTTATTCTTTGAAGCAATTGTGAATGGGAGTTCACTCATGATTTGGCTCTCTGTTTGCCTGTTATTGGTGTATAAGAATCCTTGTGATTTTTGTACATTGATTTTGTATCCTGAGACTTTGCTGATGTTGCCTATCAGCTTAAGGAGATTTTGGGCTGAGATGATAGGGTTTTTTAGATATGCAATCATGTCATCTGCAAACAGGGACAATTTGACTTCTTCTTTTCCTAATTGAATACCCTTTATTTCCTTCTCCTGCCTGATTGCCCTGGCCAGAACTTCCAACACTATGTTGAATAGGAGTGGTGAGAGAGGCCATCCCTGTCTTGTGCCAGTTTTCAAAGAGAATCCTTCCAGTTTTTGAACATTCAGTATGATATTGGCTGTGGGATTGTCATAGATAGCTCTTATTATTTTGAGATATGTCCCATCAATACCTAATTTATTGAGAGTTTTTAGCATGAAGAGTTGTTGAATTTTGTCAAATGCCTTTTCTGCATCTATTGAGATAAATCATATGTTTTTTTCTGTAAAACCTATTCCAAAAAATGGAAAAAGAAGGACTCCTCTCTAACTCATTTTATGAGGCCAGCATCATCCTGATACCAAAACCTGGCAGAGACACAATAAAAAAAGAAAATTTTAGGCCAATATCCCTGATGAACATCAATGAGAAAATCTTCAATAAAATACTGGCAAACCAAATCCAGCAGCACATCAAAAAACTTATCCACCACTATCAAGTCGGCTTCATGCCTTGGATGCAAGGCTGATTCAACATACACAAATCAATAAACGTCATCCATCACATAAACAGAACCAATGGAAAAAACACGTGATTATCTCAATATATGTAGAAGAAACCTTCAATAAAATTCAACACCCCTTCATACTAAAAACTCTCAATAAACTAGGTTCTGATGAAACATATCTCAAAGTAATAAGAACTATTTATGACAAACACACAGCCAATATCATACTGAATGGGCAAAACTGGAAGCATTGCCTGTGAAAACTGGCACAACACAAAGATACCCTCTCTCACCACTCCTATTCAACATAGTATTGGAAGTTCTGGCCAAGGCAATCAGGCAAGAGAAATAAATAAAATTTATTCAAATAGGAAGAGAGAAAGTCAAATTGTCTCTGTTTTCAGATAGCATAATTGTATATTTAGAAGACGTCATTACCTCAGCCCAAAAACTCCTTAAGCTGATAAGCAACTTCAGCAAAGTCTCAGGATACAAAATCAATGTGCAAAAATCGCAAGGATCCTTGTACACCAATAACAGACAAACAGAGAGCCAAATCATGAGTGAACTCCCATTCACAATTGCTACAAAGAGCATAAAATACCTAGGAATACAACTTACAAGGGATGTGAAGAACTTCTTCAAAGAGAACTACAAACCACTGCTCAAGGAAATGAGAGGACACAAGCAAATGAAAAAATATTTCATGTTCATGGATATGAAGAATCAATATAGTGAATATGGCCATACTGCCCAAAGTACTTTATTGATTCAATGCTACTTCCATCAAGCTGCCATTGACTTTCTTCACAGAATTAGAAAAAACTACTTTAAATTTCATACACAACCAATAAGAGCCCATATAGCCAAGACAATCCTAAGCATAAAGAACAAAGCTGGAGGCATCAGGTTACTTGACTTCAAACTACGCTACAAGGCTACAGTAACCAAAACAGCATGGTAATAGTACCAAAACAGATATATAGACCAATAGAACAAAACAGAGGCCTCAGAAATAATGCCACAAATCTATAACCATCTGATCTTTGGCAAACTATACAAAAAAAGCAATGGGGAAATGATTCCCTAGTTAATAAATGGTGTTGGGAAAACTGGCTAGCCATATGCAGAAAACTGAAACTGGACCCCTTCCTTACACCTTTTACAAAAATTAACTCAAGATGGATTAAACACTTAAATGTAAGGCCTAAAACCATAAAAAGTCTAGAAGAAAACTTAGGTAGTCCGTTTAGAACATAGGCATGGGCAAAGACTTAATGACTAAAACACCAAAAGCAATTGCAACAAAAGCCAAAATAGACAATATGAGATCTAATTAAACTATAGAGCTTCTGCACAGTGAAAGAAACTTTTATTAGACTGAACAGGCAACGTACACAGTGGGAGAAAATTTTTGCAATTGACAAAGGGCTAATATCCAGAATCTACAAGGAACTTCAACAAATTTACAATTAAGAAAACCCCTTCAAAAAGTGGGTGAAGAATATGAACAGGCACTTCTAAAAATAAGACATTTGTATGGCCAACAAACATATGAAAAAAAGCTCATCATCACTGTCATTAGAAAAATGTAAATCAAAACCACAATGAGATATTATCTCACACCAGTTAGAATGGTGATCATTAAAAATTCAGGAAACAACAGATGCTGGAGAGGATGTGGAGAAATAGTAATGCTTTCACACTGTTGCTGGGAATAGAAATTAGTTCAACCATTGTGGAAGACAGTGTGGAGATTCCTCAAGGATATAGAATCAGAAATACCTTTTGACCCAGCAATCCCATTACTGGGCATATATCCAAAGGATGATAAATTAATCTACTATAAAGACACAAGCACATGTATTTATTGCAGCACTATTTACAATGGCTAAGACTTGGAACAAACCCAAATGCCCATCAATGATAGACTGGAAAAAGAAAATGTGGCACATATACACCATGGAATACTATGCATCCATAAAAAAGAATGATTTCATGTCCTTTGCAGGGACGTGAATGAAGCTGGAAACCATCATTCTCAGCAAACTAACAGAGGAACAGAAAACCAAACGCCTCATGTTCTCACTCATAAGTGGGAGTTGAACAATGAGAACACATGGACACAGAAAGGGGAACATCACACACCAGGACTTGTCAGAAGGGTGGAGAGCGGGGGGAGGATAGCATTAGAATAGATGGGCTGATGGGTGCAGCAAACCACCATGGCACTTGTATACCTAGGTAACAAACCTGCACATTCTGCACATGTATCCCAGTACTTAAAGTATCATTAAAAAAAAAGAAAGTATATTTTACTGTTGTTGAACGAAGTATTCTATAGATGTCAATTGGATCCAATTGATTGATGGAGCTATTCAGCTCACTGATCTTCTTGCTGATTTTCTGCCTTATAGATCTGTCAAGAACTAATACACAGGGGTTGAAATCTGCCAATATAACAGTGGGCTTCTCAATTTTTCCTTGCAGTGCTATAAGTGTTTGCCTCACGTTCTTTGTTTTTATGCATATACGTAAGGATTTTTATGTCTTTATGAAGAAGTGAACCCTTGTAATGTTATATTATTAATGCCTCTCTTTATCCTTGTTAATTTTCCTTGTTCTGAATCTGCTTATTCTGAAATTAATGTTGCTACTCTGTCCTTATTTTTACTTACTTTTTTTTAACTTTTATTTTAGATTTAGGGGAACATGGGCAAGTTTGTTATATAGGTAAATCGCATATCACAGGGCTTTGTTTGATGTACATATTATTTTATTACCTAGGTAATAAGCATAATAGTCCATAGCTAGTTTTTCGGTTTTCACCTTCATCCCCCCTCCATGCTCAGGTAGGCCCAGTGTCTGTTCCTTTCTTTGTGTCCATATGTACTCAATGTTTATCTACCACTTATAAGTGAGAACATAAAGTATTTTATTTTCTGTTCCTGTGTAATATGTCAGTTCGCTTAGGATAATGGCCTACAGCTCCATCTTTCTTGCTACAAAGAACATGATCTAATTCTTGCATATGACTGTGTAGTATTCCATGATATATTTGTACCACATTTTTAAAATCCAGTTTAGCATTGATGAGCATTTAGGTTGATTTCATGTCTTTGCTTTTGTGAATAGTGTTTCAATGAAAATATGCATGCATGTGTCTTTATGGTAGAACAATTTATATTCCTTTTGGTATATACCCAATAATAGGTCGAATGGTAATTCTTCTGTGAGTACTTTGAGAAATCACCAAACTGCTTTCCACAATGGCTGAACAAATTTCCATTCCCACCAGCAGTCTATAAGCATTCCTTTTTCTCCACAACCTTGCAAACAACTGTTATTTTTGACTTTGCAATAACAGCCATTCTGACTGATGTGAGATGATATCTCATTGTGGTTTTGAATTGCATTTATCTAATGGTTAGTGATGTTGAGCATTTTTTCATGTTTATTGGCCGCATGTATGTCTTCTTTTGAGAAGTGTTTGTTCATGTCCTTGGCCCACTTTTTAAAGGGATTGTTTGGTGTCTACTTGTTAATTTGTTTTCGTTCTTTATAGATTGTGGATATTAGACCTTTGTTGGATGCATAGTTTGCAAATATTTTCTCCTGTTCTCTATGTTATCTGCTTACTCTGTTGATAGCTTCTATTGCTCTGCAGAAGCTCTTTCAGTAAATTACGTCCCATTTGTCAAATTCTGGTTTGTTGCAGTTGCTTCTGGCATCTTTATCATGAAATCTTTGCTAGGTCCTATATCCCAAATGGTATTTCTTAGATTATCCTTCAGGATTTTTATAGTTTTAGGTTTTACACCAAAGTCACTTTGAGTTATTTTTTGTATATGGTATAAATAAGGGGTCCAGTTTCTGTATTCTTCATATGTCTAGCGAGTTATCCCAGCAACATTTATTGAACAGGGAGTTCTTTCCCCATTGCTTATTTTTTTTTGTCAAAGATTACATTATTTTAGGTGTGTGCCATTATTTCTGGGCCTTTCCTCTATTCTATTCCTTTGCTCTATGTGTCTGTTTTTCACCAGTACCATACTGTTTTGGTTATCAAAGCATTGTAGTATAGTTTGAAGTCAGGTAAAGTGATGTGGCTGGCATTGGATTTTTTGCTTACCATTACATTGGACTTTTGAGCACTTTTTTTGGTTTCCTATGAATTTTAAAATACAATTTTCTAGTTTTGTGAAGAATGTCTTTGATAGCTTGATGAGAATAGCATTGCATCTGTAAATTGCTTTGGGCAGTGAGGCCATTTTAAAAATACTGATTCTTGCAATCCATGAACATGGAATGTTTTTCCATTTCTTTGTGTCATCTCTGATTTCTTTGAGCAATGTTTTATAATTCTCATTGTAGAGATCTTTCACCTCCCTGGTCAGATGTATTCCTAGGTATTTTATTCTTTTTCTGGCTTTTGTGAATGACATTGCATTCTTTTTTTTTTCTCTTATTATTATACTTTAAGTTTTAGGGTATATGTGCACATTGGGCAGGTTAGTTACATATGCATACATGTGCCACACTGGTGCGCTGCACCCACTAACTCACCATCTAGCATTAGGTATATCTCCCAATGCTATCCCTCCCCCTCCCCCCACCCCACAACAGTCCCCAGAGTGTGATGTTCCCCTTCCTGTGTCCAT
This sequence comes from Homo sapiens, assembly GCF_000001405.40. Taxonomy (NCBI): domain Eukaryota; kingdom Metazoa; phylum Chordata; class Mammalia; order Primates; family Hominidae; genus Homo; species Homo sapiens. The sequence continues at coordinate 76,944,979 of NC_000023.11, forward strand.
GTGATCTCATTGTTCAATTCCCACCCATGAGTGAGAATATGTGGTGTTTGGTTTTTTGTTCTTGCGATAGTTTACTGAGAATGATGATTTCCAATTTCATCCATGTCCCTACAAAGGACATGAACTCATCATTTTTTATGGCTGCATAGTGTTCCATATTGTATATGTGCCACAGTTTCTTAATCCAGTCTATCATTGATGGACATTTGGGTTGGTTCCAAGTCTTTGCTATTGTGAATAGTGCCACAATAAACATACGTGTGCATGTGTCTTTATAGCAGCAAGATTTATAGCCCTTTGGGTATATACCCAGTAATGAGATGGCTGGGTCAAATGGTATTTCTAGTTCTAGATCCCTGAGGAATGGCCACACTGACTTCCACAATGGTTGAACTAGTTTACAGTCCCACCAACAGTGTAAAAGTGTTCCTATTTCTCCACATCCTCTCCAGCACCTGTAGTTTCCTGACTTTTTAATGATTGCCATTCTAACTGGTGTGAGATGGTATCTCATTGTGGTTTTGATTTTCATATCTCTGATAGCCAGTGATGATGAGCATTTTTTCATGTGCTTTTTGGCTGCATAAATGTCTTCTTTTGAGAAGTGTCTGTTCATGTCCTTTGCCCAATTTTTGATGGGGTTGTTTGTTTTTTTCTTCTAAATTTGTTTGAGTTCATTGTAGATTCTGGATATTAGCCCTTTGTCAGATGAGTAGGTTGCAAAAATTTTCTCCCATTTTGTAGGTTGCCTGTTCACTCTGATGGTAGTTTCTTTTGCTGTACAGAAGCTCTTTAGTTTAATTAGATCCCATTAGTCAATTTTGTCTTTTGTTGCTATTGCTTTTGGTGTTTTAGACATGAAGACCTTGCCCATGTCTATGTCCTGAATGGTATTGCCTAGGTTTTCTTCTAGGGTTTTTATGGTTTTAGGTCTAAGTGCAATCAAACTAGAACTCAGGATTAAGAAACTCACTCAAAACCGCTCAACTACATGGAAACTGAACAACCTGCTCCTGAATGACTACTGGGTACATAACGAAATGAAGGCAGAAATAAAGGTGTTCTTTGAAACCAACGAGAACAAAGACACAACATACCAGAATCCCTGGGACACATTCAAAGCAGTGTGTAGAGAGAAATTTATAGCACTAAATGCCCACAAGAGAAAGCAGGAAAGATCCAAAATTGACACCCTAACATCACAATTAAAAGAACTAGAAAAGCAAGAGCAAACACATTCAAAAGCTAGCAGAAGGCAAGAAATAACTAAAATCAGAGCAGAACTGAAGGAAATAGAGACACAAAAAAACCTTCAAAAAATTAATGAATCCAGGAGCTGGTTTTTGGAAAGGATCAACAAAATAGATAGACCACTAGCAAGACTAATAAAGAAAAAAAGAGAGAAGAATCAAATAGATGCAATAAAAAATGATAAAGGGGATATCACCACCGATCCCACAGAAATACAAACTACCATCAGAGAATAATACAAACACCACTACGCAAATAAAATAGAAAATCTAGAAGAAATGGATAAATTCCTCGACACATACACTCTCCCAAGACTAAACCAGGAAGAATTTGAATCTCTGAATAGACCAATAACAGGATCTGAAATTGTGGCAATAATCAATAGCTTACCAACAAAAAGAGTCCAGGACCTGATGGATTAACAGCCGAATTCTACAAGAGATACAAGGAGGAGCTGGTACCATTCCTTCTGAAACTATTCCAATCAATAGAAAAAGAGGGAATCCTCCCTAACTCATTTTATGAGGCCAGCATCATTCTGATACCAAAGCCTGGCAAAGATACAACCAAAAAAGAGAATGTTAGACCAATATCCTTGATGAACATTGATGCAAAAATCCTCAATAAAATACTGGCAAACTGAATCCAGCAGCACATCAAAAAGCTTATCCACCATGATCAAGTGGGCTACATCCCTGGGATGCAAGGCTGGTTCAATATACACAAATCAATAAATGTAATCCAGCATATAAACAGAGCCAAAGACAAAAACCACATGATTATCTCAATAGATGCAGAAAAGGCCTTTCACAAAATTCAACAACTCTTCATGCTAAAAACTCTCAATAAACTAGGTATTGATGGGACGTATTTCAAAATAATAAGAGCTATCTATGACAAACCCACAACCAATATCATACTGAATGGGCAAAAACTGGAAGCATTCCCTTTGAAAACTGGCACAAGACAGGGATGCCCTCTCTCACCACTCTTATTCAACATAGTGTTGGAAGTTCTGGCCAGGGCAATTAGGCAGGAGAAGGAAATAAAGGGCATTCAATTAGGAAAAGAGGAAGTCAAATTGTCCCTGTTTGCAGACGACATGATTGTATATCTAGAAAACCCCATTGTCTCAGCCCAAAATCTCCTTAAGCTGATAGGCAACTTCAGCAAAGTCTCAGGATACAAAATCAATGTACAAAAATCACAAGCATTCTTATACACCAACAACAGACAAACAGAGAGCCAAATCATGAGTGAACTCCCATTCACAATTGCTTCAAAGAGAATAAAATACCTAGGAATCCAACTTACAAGGGATGTGAAGGACCTCTTCAAGGAGAACTACAAACCACTGCTCAATGACATAAAAGAGGATACAAACAAATGGAAGAACATTCCATGCTCATGAGTAGGAAGAATCAATATCGTGAAAATGGCCATACTGCCCAAGGTAATTTACAGATTCAATGCCATCCCCATCAAGCTACCAATGCCTTTCTTCACAGAATTGGAAAAAACTACTTTAAAGTTCATATGGAACCAAAAAAGAGCCCACATCATCAAGTCAATCCTAAGCCAAAAGAACAAAGCTGGAGGCATCACACTACCTGACTTCAAACTATACTACAAGGCTACAGTAACCAAAACAGCATGGTACTGGTACCAGCATTGATCCAGATGTAGATCAATGGAACAGAACAGAGCCCTCAGAAATAACGCCGCATATCTACAACTATCTGATCTTTGACAAACCTGAGAAAAACAAGTAATGGGGAAAGGATTCCCTATTTAATAAATGGTGCTGGGAAAACTGGCTAGCCATATGTAGAAAGCTGAAACTGGATCCCTTCCTTACACCTTATACAAAAATCAATTCAAGATGGATTAAAGACTTAGACATTGCATTCTTAATTTGACTCAACTTGAATATTGTTGGTGTATAGAAATGCTAATGATTTTTGTATACTGATTTTATATTCTGAAACTTTGCTGAAATTGGTTATCATACCAAGGATCTCTTGGGCAGAGATTTCTAGGTATAAAATCATATTATATGCAAACTGGGACTGTCTGACTTCCTCTCTTTCTATTCGGATGCTTTTTACTTCTTTCTCTTGTCTGATTGTACTGGCTAGGACTTTCAGTACTATATTGAATAGTATTGGTGAGAGTGGGCATATTTGTGTTGTTCTGGGTTTCAAGCAGAATGTTTCAAGATTTTTCTCATTCAGTATCGTATTGGCTGTGGGTTTACTATAGATGGCTCTTGTTATGTTGAAGTATATTCCTCCTTCAATGCCTAGTTTGTTGAGGGGTTTTCAACATGAAGTGATATTAAGTTTTATCAGGAGATTATTTTGCATCTGTTGAGATAATCATTTGTTTTTTGTTTTTAATTCTCTTTATGTGACAAATCATATTTATTGATTTGCATATGTTGAATCAGTCTTGGATCACAGGGATAGCCTAGTTGATTATGATGGATTACCTTTTAGATGCGTTGATGGATTCAGCCTGCTATTACTTTGTTGAGGATTTTTGCACATACATTCATCAGAGATATTGGCCAGAATTTTTCTCTCTGTGTGTGTGTGTGTGTGTGTGTGTGTGTGTGTGTGTGTGTGTGTGTGTGTCTGTGTCTGCTAGGTTTTAGTATCAGGATGATGCTGGCCTCACAGAATGAGTTAGGAATGAATCCCTCCTCTTCCATTATTTTGAATAGTTTTGATAGAAATTCTACAAGCTCTTCTTTATAAATCTGGTAGAATTCAGCTGTGAATCTCTCTAGCATTGGGCTTTTTCTGGTTGGTAAGCTACTTTATACTGATTCAATTTCGGAACTCATTATTGTTCTTTTCAGGGATTCAATTTCTTCTTGGTTCAAGCTTGGAAAGTTGTATGTTCCCAGGAATTTATTCATTTCTTCTAGATTTTCTAGCTTGTGTACATAGAGGTTTATGTAGTGGTCTCTGAGGGTTTTTTTTTTTGTACTTATGTGGGGTTAGTGGTAACATCTTCTCTTTCATTTTTAATTATGTTTATTTAGATATTTTCTTTTTTTCTTTATTAGTCTAGCTAGTGGTCTATCTATCTTATTATTTGGATCTTCTCTAATTTTTTCTTTATTAGTCTAGCTACTGATCTACCTATCTTATTATTTCAAAAAACCAACTCCTGAATTTGTTTATCTTTTGTATTTTTTTTTTTTACATCTCAATTTCCTTCAGTTCAGCTCTGATTTTTATTTATTGTATTCTATCTTTGGGATTGATTTCCTTTAGTTTCTCTACCTCCACTAGGTGTTATGTTAGGTTTTTAATTTGACATATTACTAACTTTTCGATTTGGGTGTTTAGTGCTATAAACTGTCCTCTTAACACTGCCGTAGCTGTGTCCCAGAGATTCTGGTATGCTTTATTTTTGTGAGTTTTTGACTCTGATTATGTTTCTAATACTGTCAGTGGAGAGGTGAAGTCCAACACTATTATCATGTGGTTATCTGAATCTCTTCCTAGGTCTCTAGGAACTTACTTATTAATATAGGTGGTCCTGTATTGGATGCATATATATTTAGGCTAGCTCATTCTTCTTGTTGAAATGAGCCCTTTACCATTATGTAATGCCTTTCTTTGTCTTTTTTGATCTTTCTTGGTTTAAACTTTGTTTTGTCTAAAATTAAAATAGCAAGCCCTACTGCTTTCTGTGTTCTGTTTGCTTGGTAGATTTTTTTTTCCATCCGTTTACTTTGAGCCTATGGGTGTCAATGCATGTGAGACAGCATACCATTGGGTCTTGCTTCTTTTTTCAACTTATCACTCTTTGCCTTTTAAGTGGGGTGTTTTCCCTGTTTGCATTCAAGGTTAGCATTGATATTTGCAAATTTGACCTTGTCATCATGCTGTTAGCTGGTGATTATGCAGACCTGTTTGTGTGGTTGCTTTATAGTTTCACTGGTCTATATATTTCAGTGTGATTTTGTAGTGGCCAGTAACAGTCTTTCTTTTCGGTATTTAACACTCCCTTCCGGACCTCCTGTAAGGCAAGTCTGGTGGTAATAAATTCCCTCAAAATTTGTTTATCTTAAAAACATCTTATTTCTTCTTCATTTATGAAGTTTAGTTTGGCTGGATATGAAATTCTTGGTTGAAATTCATTTCATTTAAGAGTGTTGAGGGGGGGAGGTTCCAAGATGGCTGAATAGGAACAGCTCCAGTCTACAGCTCCCAGCATGAGTGATGTGGAAGACAGGTGATTTGTGCATTTCGAACTGAGGTAGTGGGTTCATCTCACTGGGGCTTGTCAGACAGTGGGTGCAGCCCATGGAGCAGCACGGGGAATTGCCTCACCAAGAAGTGCAAGGGGTCAGGGAATTCCCTTTCCTAGCCAAGGGTAGCCGTGACAGATGGTACCTGGAAAATCGGGAAACTCCCACCTTAATACTGTGCTTTTCCAATAGTCTTAGCAAATGGCACACCAGGAGATTATATCCTGAGCATGGTTCAGAGTGACCCACACCCATGGAGTCTCACTCACTGCTAGCACAGCAGTCTGAGATCGAACTGCAAGGTGCAGCAAGGCTGGTGGAGGGGAGTCCACCATTGCTGAGGCTTAAGTAGGTAAACAAAGAGGCCAGGAAGCTTGAACTGGGTGGAGCCCACTGCAGCTCAAGGAGGCCTGCCTGCCTCTGCAGACTCCACCTCAGGGGCAGGGTATAGCTGAACAAAAGGTAGCAGAAACTTCTGCAGACTTAAATGTCCCTGTCTGACAGCTCTGAAGAAAGTAGTAGTTCTCCCAGCATGGAGTTTGAGATCTGAGAATGGACAGACTGCCTACTCAAGTGGGTCCATGACCCCCATGTAGCCTAACTGGGAAACACCTCCAAATAGGGGCTGACTGACACCTCATACAGCTGGGTGCCCCTCTGAGACAAAGCTTCCAGAGGAAGGATCAGGCAGCAATATTTGCTGTCCTGCAGCCCCTGCTGGTGCAACTCAGGCAAATGGGATCTGGAGTGGACTTCCAGCAAACTCCAACAGACATGCAGCTGAGGGTCCTGACTGTTAGAAGGAAAACTAACAAACAGAAAGGACATCCACACCAAAACCCCATCTGTACATCACCATCATCAAGGACCAAGGTGGATAAAACCACAAAGATGGGGAGAAAACAGAGCAGAACAGCTGAAAATTCTAAAAACCAGAGTGCCTCTTCTCCTCAAAAGTAGTGCAGCTCCTCGCCAGTAATGGAACAAAGCTGGATGGAGAAGGACTTTGATGAGTTGAGAGAAGAAGGCTTCAGACGATCGGTAATAACAAACTTCTCTGAGCTAAAGGAGGATGTTCGAACCCATTGCAAAGAAGCTAAAAACCTTGAAAAAAGATTAGATGAATGACTGACTAGAATAAACAGCATAGAGAAGACTTTCAATGACTTGATGGAGCTGAAAACCATGGCACGAGAACTACGTGACACATGCACGAGCTTCAGTAGCTGATTTGATCAAGTGGAAGAAAGTGTATCAGTGCTTGAAGATCAAATGAATGGAATGAAGCAAGAAGAGAAGTTTAGAGAAAAAAGAGTAAAAAGAATGAACAAAGCCTCCAAGAAATGTGGGATTATGTGAAAAGACCAAATCTAGGTCTGATTGGTGTACCTGAAAGTGATCGGGAGAATGGAAACAAGTTGGAAAACACTCTTCAGGAAGTATCCAGGAGAACTTCCCCAACCTGCAAGGCAGGCCAACATTGAAATTCAGAAAATACAGAGAACCCCACAAAGATACTCCTCAAGAAGAGCAACTCCAAGACACATAATTGTCAGATTCCACAAAGTTGAAATGAAAGAAAAAATGTTAAGGGCAGCCAGAGAGAAAGGTCAGGTTACCTACAAAGGGAAGCCCATCAGACTAACAGCCCAACAGACTAACTAAACATGGAAAGGAACAACTGATACCAGCCACTGCAAAGCATGCCAAATTGTAAAGTCCATCAATGCTAGGAAGAAACTGCAGGCACTAATAAGCAAAATCACCAGCTAACATCATAATGACAGGACCAAATTCACACATAATAATATTAACCTTAAATGTAAATGGGCTAAATGCTCCAATTAAAAGACACAGACTGGAAAACTGGATAAAGAGTCAAGACCCATCAGTGTGCTGTATTCAGGAAACCCATCCCATGTGCAGAGACACACACAGGCTCAAAATAAAGGGATGGAGGAAGATCTACCAAGCAAATGGAAAACAAAAAAAAAGCAGGGTGGCAATCCTAGTCTCTGATAAAACAGACTTTAAACCAACAAAGATCAAAAGAGACAAAGAAGGCCATTACATAATGATAAAGGGATCTATTCAACAAGAAGAGCTGACTATCCTAAACATATATATGCACCCAATACAGGAGCACCCAGATTCAAAAAAGCAAGCCCTTAGAGACCTACAAAGAGACTTAGAGTCCCACACAACAATGGAAGACTTTAACACCCCACTGTCAACATTAGACAGATCAACAAGGCAGAAAGTTAACAAGGATATCCAGGGATTGAACTCAGCCCTGCATCAAGAAGACCTAATAGACATCTACAGAACTCTCCACCCCAAATCAACAAAATATACATTCTTCTCAGCACCACATCACACTTATTCCAAAATTGACCACATAGTTGGAAGTAAAGCAGTCCTCAACAAATGTAAAAGAACAGAAATTATAACAAACTGTCTTCAGACCACAGTGCAATCAAACTAGAACTCAAGATTAAGAAACACACTCAAAACTGCTCAACTACATGGAAACTGAACAACATGCTCCTGGATGACTATTGGGTACATAACGAAATGAAGGCAGAAATAAAGATGCTATTTGAAACCAATGAGAAAAAAGACACAACATACCATAATCTCTGAGACACATCTAAAGCAGTGTGTAGAGGGAAATTTATAGAACTAAATGCCCACAAGAGAAAGTAGGAAAGATCTAAAATTGACACCCTAACATCACAATTAAAATAACTAGAGAAGCAAGAGGAAACACATTCAAAAGCTGGCAGAAGGCAAGAAATAACTAAGATCAGAGCAGAAATGAAGGAGATAGAGACACAAAAAAAACCTTCAAAAAATCAATGAACCCAGGAGCTGGTTTCTTGAAAATATAACAAAATTGATAGACCACTAGCAAGACCAATAAAGAAGAAAAGAGAGAAGAATGAAATAGACCCAATAAAAAATGATAAAGGGGATATCACTACCTATCCCACAGAAATAAAACTACCATCAGAGAATACTATAAACACCTCTATGCAAATAAACTAGAAAATCTAGAAGAACTGGATAAATTCCTGGACACATACACCCTCTCAAGACTAAAACAGAAAGAATTTGAATCCCTTAATAGACCAATAACAGGCTCTGAAATTGAGGCAATAATTAATAGCCTACTAACCAAAGAAAGCCCAGGACCAGACAGAATCACAGCTGAATATTACCAGAGGTAAAAAGAGGAGCTGGTAGCATTCCTTCTGAAACTATTCCAATCAATAGAAAAAGAGGGAATCCTCCCTATCTCATTTTATGAGGCCAGCATCATCCTGATACCAAAGCCTGGCGGAGACATACACACAAAAAATAGAATTTTAGACCAATATACCTGATGAACATCAATGCAAAAATCCTCAATAAAATACAGGCAAACCAAATCCAGCAGCACATCAAAAGCTTATCTACAACGATCAGGTTAGCTTCATCCCTGGGATGCAAGGCTGCTTCAACATACACAAATCAATAAACGCAATCGATCATATAAGCAGAACCAAAGACCTGATTATCTCAATAGATGCAGAAAAGGCCTTTGACAAAATTCAGCAGCCCTTCATGCTAAAAACTCTCAATAAACTAGGTATTGATGTGATGTATCTCAAAATAATAAGAGCTATTTATGACAAACCCACAGCCAATATCATACTGAATGGGCAAAAACTGGAAGCATTCCCTTTGAAAACTGGCACAAGACCGGGATGCCCTCTCTCACCACTCCTATTCAACATAGTGTTGGAAATTCTGGCCAGGGCAATTAGGCAGGAGAAAAAACAAAGTGTATTCAATTAGGAAAAGAGGAAGTCAAATTGTCCCTGTTTGCAGATGACATGATTGTATATCTAGAAAACCCCATTGTCTCAGCCCAAAATCTCCTTAAGCTGATAAGCAACTTCAGCAAAGTCTCAGGATACAAAATCAATGTGCAAAAATCACAAGCATTCATTTACACCAGTAACAGACAAACAAAGAGCCAAATCATGGGTGAACTCCCATTCACAATTGCTTCAAAGAGAATAAAATACCTAGGAATCCAACTTACAAGGGATGTGACGGACCTCTTCAAGGAGAACTACAAACCACTGCTCAATGAAATAAAAGAGGGCACAAACAAATGGAAGAACATTCCATGCTCATGGATAGGAAGAAACAATATCGTGAAAATGGCCATACTGCCCAAGGTAATTTATAGATTAAATGCCATCCCCATCAAGCTACGAATGACTTTCTTCACAGAACTGGAAAAAACTACTTTAAAGTTCATATGGAATCAAAAAAGATCTTGCATTGTCAAGACAATCCTAAGCCAAAAGAACAAAGCTGGAGGCATCATGCTACCTGCCTTCAAACTATACTACAAGGCTACAGTAACCAAAACAGCATGGTACTGGTACCAAAGCAGAGATGTAGACCAATGGAACAGAAGAGAGCCCTCAGAAATAACACCACACATCTACAACAATCTGATCTTTGACAAACCTGAGAAAAACAAGCAATGGGGAAAGGATTCCCTATTTAATAAATGGTGCTGGGAAAACTGGCTAGCCATATGTAGAAATCTCAAACTGGATCCCTTCCTTACACCTTATACAACAATTAATTCAAGATGGATTAAAGACTTACATGTTAGACCTAAAACCATAAAAACCCTAGAAGAAAACCAAGGCAATACCATTCAGGACATAGGCATGGGCAAGGACTTCATATCTAAAACACCAAGATCAATGGCAACAAAAGCCAAAATTGACAAATGGGATTTAATTAAACTAAAGAGCTTCTGCACAGCAAAAGAAACTACCATCAGAGGGAACAGGCAACCTACAGAATGGGAGAAAATTTTTACAATCTGCCCGTCTGACAAAGGGCTAATATCCAGAATCTACAAAGAAATTAAACAAATTTACAAGAAAAAATCAAACAACCCCATCAAAAAGTGGGCAAAGGATATGAACAGACACTTCTCAAAAGAAGACAATTTATGCAGCCAAAAGACACATGAAAAAATGCTCATCATCACTGGCCATCAGACAAATGCAAATCAAAACCACAATGAGATACCATCTCACACCAGTTAGAATGGCGATCATTAAAAAGTCAGGAAACAACAGGTGCTGGAGTGGATGTGGAGAAATAGGAATACCTTTACACTGTTGATGGGACTGTAAACTAGTTCAACCATTGTGGAAGACTGTGTGGTGATTCCTCAAGGATCTAGAACTAGAAATACCATTTGAGCCAGCCATCCCATTACTGGGTATATACCCAAAGGATTATAAATCATGCTACCAGAAAGACACATGCACACGTATGTTTATTGTGGCACTATTCACTATAGCAAAGACTTGGAACGAACGCAAATGTCCATCAATTATAGACTGGATTAAGAAAATGTGGCACATATACACCATGGAATACTATGCGGCCTTAAAAAAGATGAGTTCTTGTTTCTGTAGGGAGATGAATGAAGCTGGAAACCATCATTCTGAGCAAACTATGGCAAGGACAGAAAACCAAACACCAGATGTTCTCATTCATAGGTGGGAATTTAACAATGAGAACACCTGGACACAGGGTGAGGAACATCACACACCAGGGCCCGCCATGGTGTGGAGGAGGGTGGAGTAATAGCATTAGGAGATATAGCTAATGTAAATGACGACTTAACGGGTGCAGCACACCAACATGGCACACGTATACATATGTAACAAACCTGCACGTTGTGCACATGTGCCTTAGAATTTAAAATATAATTAAAAAACACATTTACAAATAAATAAATAAATAAATAAATAAGAGTGTTGAACATAGTCCCCCAATATCTTCTGGTTTGTATGGTTTCTGCTGAAAGGCATGCTGTTAGCCTGAAGGGTTTCCCTTTGTAAATGCCTTGCCCCTTCTCTCTAACTGCCTTTTACATTTTTACCTTGGAGAATTTGATGACTACGTGTCTTGCAGATGGCTGTCTTGTGAAGTATTTTGCAGAGGGTCTCTGCATTTTCTGAATTTGAAGCTGGCCTCTCTAGACAGGTTGGCTAAATTTTCATGGACGATATTCTCATACATGTTTTCCAAGTTGCTTACTTTTTCTCACTCTCTTTTAGGGATGTTTCAGAGGTTTTCTTCATTCTTATTTAAGTCTTTTTTCTTCATTTTTTTTCTGACAGTTATTTCAGAGAACTGGTCTTCAAGCTCTGAGATTCATTTCTCACCTTGCTTAATCCTGTTGCTAATGCTTTTGATTGCATTCTGAAACTCTTCAAGTGAGTTTTTCAGTTCTATTAGATAAATTTAGTTACTTCTTAAGATGACCATTTTATCTTTCATTCTCTGTATCATTTTATTTTATTCCTTAGAACCCTTGGATTGGGTTTCTACTTTTTCCTGAATGATCTTTGTTCCTATACACATTCTGAATCCTATTTCTGTCATTCCAGATATTTCAGCCTGGTTAAGAAACATTGCTGGGGAACTAGTGTGGTCATTTTGAGGTAAGAAGACTCTGTGGATTTTAGAATTGCCAGAATTTTGCACTGGTTCTTTCTCATCTGTGTGGGCTGATGTTCCTTTCATCTTTCAATTTGCTGTCTTTTTTATTTTTTGTATCTTCTTTTATGTTCTTGGGGTTTCTATTGTGTTATAACATGGATTCCATTGAGTGGCTTCATTTCTGAAAGATTTTAGGGGGCCAAGGCTCAGTTCAGCACACCTGGGCTGTGTGACCTCACTCTAGGGGGCTGCTTTTAGGCCCACCATTTTGTTCTCTGGCCCCTTGAAATTAGAAACCTGCTGTTCTTGGGGAGTGGCCATGGTGGTCTCCAACTGCTGGCCACAACACTCTAATGGGTGCTGCCAGCCAAAGTGCTTCATCAGATGCTGGCTGTGATCTTTCACACATGCCAGCAGTAGAAACACAGTGGGGTCCACACTCATCAGGTGGAGCAGGGTGTTGGTGAACATAGTGCTGCCAGATTCTGTGATGTTCACGGTGACAACAGTGGTGGCATGGGGGGCCAAGGCCACTGATGGCTGCTGTTTGCACATTCACACAGGCAGTATTGGTGTCATGGTATGGGTGGTGGGACTGTTGGTGGTCTCTGTGCATGCATTCACCCAAGTGGCAGCATCAGCACTGGGACAGGGTGCTAGTGAGTGCAGGGCTGGCAGCCTCTATGCATGCCTTCATGCCATTGGCTTTGGCAACATGGGACTAGCCTTCATACATGGGTTCACATTGGCAGCAGTGGTGGCACAGGGTTGGGGGGCACTGGACTTTCTGTGTGCATTCAGGTTCACAATGCCAGTGCAGCAGGGGGTGGTGTGCTGCCCTCACACCATCAGCAGTTGTGTGCTGGGGTGCATGTGCGAACATGCACCATCCAGGGAGGAGTAGTGAGGTCCATGTGCTCATGCACCAGTAAAGTAATGAGGGGTGGCCATGCGTGAATGTGTGTTGGCAAAGTGGTACAGGGGAGGCTTCAGTAGGGGGAGGGTACAGGTGAGCTGCTATGCATTGATGGCGGTCACTCTGCTGGAGCTCTCTGAAGGTCAGGCGTGGTTTGCCAGTCAGGATCTATGTTCAGGGCCCCCAGGAGGCACTGACATTGGGCATCTGAGGATGCATTGCAAGTAGGCATGGCTTGGCTGAGGCCCTGGAAAATAACAGCAGACGGGGGTGCTGATGTTGGACTGACCCCATCCTACAGGTAAGATTGTCCTGTTCTGCTCAAGTCCAATCATTTCCCTAAGGCTAAAGTCTCCTAGGGGAGCATGGTGAGCCTTTAGAAATGGGCATCCCAGGCCATGCTCCACTGCAAATGTTCTCACAACAAACCCCCTGAGCTCTTCACAGGTTAGAGTCCTGTCCCTCTCATCTCTCTAAGCAGCTTTGCCTGCCAGCTCGAGTATCCATTGGGTCATGGGATTTCCTGCTGCCAGGATTCCAGAGATCTGTGGAGACAGGATATCTCTCCTTGCCTGTTCAACTTACCCTTTTCCCAGGAGACATTGAGAGCTAGGAATGAGTCCTGGTGTGCAGTAGCCCCGTGAAAGGTTTTTAGCTTCCTCTCCCTTTAACCCAGCATCTGTGTCCTCCCTCTGTCCACTCTCAATGCCTTGCCTCCAAAGATCAAGTTGGAGTGCACCAGTCCTGATATCCTGGTTCCTCAGTGGCAGATGTTCCTCCTGGCTGCATCTAGTCAGCCATCTTGCCCACTCTCCATTCAGCTTTCTTTTGATTAGTGGTAGCATGGTATCTTTCTCTATCCCTTTACTTTTTATCTATCTGTGTATTTATAAATAAAGTGGGTTTCCTGTAGATAACATATAGTTGGAGTCTTCTTCTGTTATCCACTCTGACAGTCTCTGACTTTTATTTGGGATAGTTATACTATTGACATTCAAAGTGACTATTTATATTGTTGGTTTAATATCTACCACATTTTTTACTGTTTTTCTATCTTTTGCCTTTCTTTATTTTTTTTCCTCCTTTTTACTGCTCTTTCTGGTTTTAAATGAGCACTTTATATGATTCCTTTCTATCTCTTTTCCTAGCATATGTTATACTTATTTTTTCACTGATTTTATTTGTTGCCCTAGAATTCACAATATACATTTACAACTAATCTAAGTATACTTTTAAATAACACTGTACCATTTCATGGGTAGTACAAATATCGCATAACAGAGCTTAAACAATTTATTTATTTTAATTTAATTTTTTTTGAGACAGAGTCTCGCTCTGTTGCCCAGGTTGGAGTGCAATGGCACAATCCCGGCTCACTGCAACCTCCACCTCCCAGGTTCAAGTGATACTCCTGCCCCAGCCTCCTGAGTAGCTGGGATTACAGGCACATGCCACCATGACTGGCTAATTTTTGTAATTTTTTTGGTAGAGACAGGGTTTCACCATGTTGGTCAGTCTGGTCTTAAACTCCTGACCTTGTGATCCACCCGCCTCAGCCTACCAAAGTGCTGGGATTATAGGCATGAGCAACTGTGCTTGGCCCATAATATATAATCTTCAATTGCAATGTTGCTATTTATTTATTAGCTAAACTAAGAATACAAAAATAAATCTTATTTTACCTTCATTTATTCTTTTATTAATGTTCTTCCTATCTTTATGTAGATCCAAGTTTCTGACCTGTATTATTTTCCCTCTTTCTGAAGAACTTATTTAACATTTCTCACACTCACAAGGCAGGTTAACTGGTGACAAATTCCCTTCATTTTTGTTTGTCCAAGAAAGTACTTTTTCAGTTTTGAAGTGTAATTTCACTGGGTGCAGAATTCTATGTCCATGGGTTTTTTTTTCTTTCAATACTTTAAATATTTCATTATTTCAAGATTTTTCCTTTGTCTTTGATTTTTTGTAGTTTGATTCCGATCTGCCTAAAAAACTGATTTTTTTTTTTTTTTTTGTATTTATCCTGCTTCGTATTCACTGAGCTCCCTACATCTGTGGTTTGGTGCCTTTCGTTAGTTTTGGAAAGTCCCCAGCCATTATTACTTGAAATATTTTTTCTGTTTCTCTCTTATCCTTCTGATGTTTGCATTATGTAAATGTTGCACGTTTTGTAATTGTTCCACAGTTCTTGTGTATTCCATTCTGCCTCTTTTGTTTTTAATTTTCTCTTCATTTCAGTTTTGGCCATCTCTCTTGACATTTCTTCAAGCTCATTATTTTTTTTCTTTGCTCTGTCCTATTAATGAGTCTATCTATATTTCTTCATTTCTGTTATAGTGGTTTTGATTTCTACCATTTCCTTTTTATTATTTCCAAGAGTTTCCACCTCTCTGCTTATATTACCTATCTGTTCTTCCATGTTATCCACTTTTTCCATTAAATTCCTTAGCATATTCTATTTCATTTAAATTCCCAGCCCTATAATCTCAACATCTTTGTTACATCTAAGTTTGAATCTGGTGTTTACCCTGTCTCTTCAATCTGTGTTTTTTGTCATTTTGTATGCTTCTGTAGTTTTTTGTTTTTGTTAGTTAGACATGATGTAGTTGGTAAAAGGAACTGAGGTAGATAAGCTTTTAGTGTGAGATTTTATGTTTATCTGGCTAGAGATTAGACTGTGTTTACTGTTTTCAATAGCTGTAGATGTTGAAGGTTAAAATTATTCCTCTTAGTTGCCTTTGGGTTTTCCTACAGACTTCTCAAATAAGATCTGAGACATGCAGTTATTTCAGTTATACTCCCCTGTTGTTATACAGGAACCTTACAGATATGGTGGGAAGTATTCTATAGTCTTATAATTAGGCTTTAGCCTTTAATGAGCCTGTGCCCCAGGACTGTGACCTTCACAAGCACTTCTCAGCTTTTTTCTTCTTCAGGCAAGACAGGAAGGATAAAGGGACTGGAGTTGGGTATTTTCCTTCCCCCAGGTCAGCTAGACTCTCATAGAACTCCAACCATTTAGTCTCTGGTAGAATAGCTTCCTTTGCAGGCAGACCTTTTCACAGAGAGAAGAATGCTCCAGGTGCATTTCAAGATAGCTACTTCCCCCATCCACTTGCAGAAAGCACAAGAAGACTATTCTCAGATCTTCACTATAGAACGTAGTAGGGCTCCTGGAGATAAAATTCATGAAAATGTGAGGGCTCCTCTAAAACTGCCCTCTTCTGGAGTTTTTACTATCAAGCTTGTCCACACCATGCCTCCAGCAATTTTTCAATTACAGTTTGTTTTTCTACCCTGATACTGGCTCCAGTGGTAATTTCTGCTCCTGAGCTTCTGCTTCAGTAAGCTGTGGTTCTCTTTAGCTGCCTATGTGCTCAATTTAGGGAATCGTGGTTTTCCCTGTGACCTCAGCTCTCTGATTCATCTGAGAAGAGTTGCTGATTTTTCATTTCTTCTTCTTTCCTCATTATGAGGATGGGAATGATAAATTCCAAATGCTTTACATGCTGGAGTAGACACAGAAGTATCAGTTGCCTTAACATACAAGTTCTTGTTTTTTCCATTTCCATCTGTTTTCACCTCTGTGCCCTTTAGCTTCCTCTTAGAATCCCTAGTCCTAGCAAGTTTTCAAGTCTGTCCTGCTTTGTTTTGAATCCCCTTCACTCCACACTTTACCTAGTCTCAGGTCAAAACCGCCCATGCTTCACCATCAACATCTACCTCTTTGTTGAAGCTACAATTAAAACATTTATGCTGCTCCATTATTATGGTTTTGACTCAAGTCCAAATAAGTAGCTATGCCCATGTATATGTTGTAAGACTCTGTTGACAGTTTTATATTTCCCATAGAATCTCACATATAGTAGGTATGCCATAAATGGGGAATTTCTTTAAAAGTTTTTTTTCCTAAAGATTAAAGCAAATACTGTAATGTGTACGATCGATTCCACAGGTTTGGAGAGAGCATCATGTTTTAGAATGACCAAGAAAGGCTTCATAATCAAGCCAAAATTGAATCCTGCCCTGAAGCATGAATAGGATTTTTATTAATTGAGAGGAGAATAAAATGGCATTCCAAATTTGAGGTACAACATGAGTAAAAGTGGTGAGACAGAATAAGAAGAAAAATATCTGCTTCTAAGGGCTCCGGTCAGCCAACTAAACTTCCTTTTATAATTATGTATGAGAAATGGAAACTACTTCTCCTCAATTAAATATAAATTAATTCAGAAAAGACCAACCACAATTTGACCACTTGAGGCTCCCCAGCTAAGAGTGGGCCTTAAAATAATATTTTTTTATATTTTTAAAATTTCATTAGCTTTAGGGGTACAAGTGGTTTTTGATTACATGGATAAATTGTACAGTGATGAAATCTGGAATTTTAGTAACCCCATCACCTGAATGGTGTACATTGTACCCAACAAGTTTTTCATCACTCACCCTCCTCTCACCTTCTCTCCTTCTGTGTCTCCAGTGTCCATTATACCAGTCCGTATGCCTTTGCATACTCATAGCTTATCTCCTACTTATAAGTAAGAACATGAGGTATTTAGTTTTCTATTCCTGAGTTACTTCACTTAGGATAATGTCCTCCAATTCAATCCAAGTTGCTGCAAAATACACTATTAGATTATTTTTTATGGATGAGTAGTATTCCATGCTGTATATATACCATATTTTCTTTATCCACTCTTCAGTTGATGGAAACTTCGGTTGATTCCATATCTTTCCAATTGTGAATTGTGCTGCAATAAAAATATGTGTGCAGGTGTCTTTTTTATATAAAGACTTTTTTTTTCTTTTGAGTAGATATCCAGTAGTGGGATTGTTAAATCAAAAGGTAGATTTACTTTTAGTTTTTTGAAAATTATCCATACTGTTTTCCATAAAGGTTGTACTAATTTCTATTCCCACTAGCAGTTTATAAGCATTCCCTCATTAACACATTCATGCCAACATTTATTGTTTTTGGGTGTTTAATAATGGCCATTCTGGCTCAGGTAAGGTGGTTTTCTCATTGTGGTTTTAATTTGTATTTCCCTGATGATTAGTTATATTGAGTATTTTTTCATATGTCTGTTGGCCATTTGTATATCTTCTTGTGAGGAATGTCTGTTCATGTCATTTGCCTGTTTTTTAATGGGATTGATTTCTCTTGCTGCTTTGTTTGAGATTCTGCATATTAATCCTCTTTCAGATGCATAGTTTGCAGATATTTTCTCCCATTTTGTAGGTTGTCTGTTTACCTTCTTTTTATTTCTTTTGCTGTGCAGAAGCTTTTTAGTTTAATTAGGTCCCATTTATTTATTGCTGTTTTTGTTGCATTTGCTTTTGGGGACTTCGTTATAAATTCTTTGCCTGTGGCAATGTCCAGAAGTGTTTTTTCTAGATTTTCTTCTAGAATTTCTGTGGTTTAAAGTTTAAGTCTTCAATCCATCTTGGGTTAATTTCTACATGTAGTGAGAGATGGATTAAAAGAGTCAATATCATGAAAATGACCATAATGATCAAAGCAATCTACAGATTCAATACAATTTCCATCAAAATACCAACACTGTTTTTCACAGAATTAGAAAAAAAAAGACCCTAAAATTCACAGAGAGTGAAAAAAGAGCCCAAATTGCCAAACTAATCCTAAGTAAAAAGAACAAATCTGGAGGCATTAAAATTACCTGACTTCAAATTATACTACCAAGCTATAGTAACCAAAACAGCATGTTACTAGTATAAATGTAGACATATAGACCAATGAAACAGAATAGAGAACCCAGAAAGTCAAATACTTATTGCCAACTGATCTTCAACAATGCAGACAAAAACATGCACTGGGGAGAAGACACTCTATTCAACAAATGGTGCTGGGGAAATCAGATAAACACATGTAGAAGAAAAATAGTATTTTAAAAAATAGCAAACTTGACCTCTGCCACAGATGTTCACTCCTACTGCATTTTTACCAACCTCATTATCTTGCAAGGAAACCCAGGATATGACAAAATGTTCATATCTGAACATTTGAAAAATATATTTAAGGTCAGTCATCACTATTTGGCCATAAATTAAAGGCAAGCTGGAGTCACAAGTTGCAGCCCTATTGTGAATGCCTGTGAATCAGTGGAAAACAAAAGCAGTTGTCCATAACCAACAGTCTTTTTCCAGTACAAGATGTGACTGAAAAGCTTCCAGCATAAATTTTGAGCAGATTTCTTTGAAGTCTAAGTCCTCCAAAGACTTCCCAAAGGGCTATTACTAAATCAGTGAATCTAGTTCTCTCTGTGTCCAGCTGCAATTCCTCTACTGGATATCATCTTGATATTACAAAAAAGGAACTTGACTCTCAAAGCCTGTTCTTTTGGGTGTCAATGGTTCTGAGTTTATGTGGCATGAAACCCTGTCTAGCAAGGCTTTCAAAACCAAAAAAAAAAAAAAGGCTTAAATTTGGGTATCTAAAGTAGGGTCTTATCTAATGTGTTACTGAATATTTCCAATTACTACGCATGTTGCATTAGGAAGAGGAGGGTGATCCATAAAAGTATTTTTATTTATGATTTCATATACATAACTTTACCAAGAGGTGAAAAGAGTTGACTAAGATGAGAAGGAAGCGTAACAGACCTAAGCCCTGAGCTGCCACTATAGGGCTCACTGTTGGTGGAAATACTAGACCCTGAATAACAACAACAACAACAACACATTTTTATTTAGTTTTAGCTGTGAATCTACGCTGTTTTCAATGGATACAGGAAATCAAAAGACACAGTCATGTTTCCTCAAGGAACTCTTACAATTCAATAACCCTATTGACACTCCAATTTGTGCTTTCCTAACACTGTGTTTATAGGACAACTAAACATTTCAGAGGTTGTATTGTCAAATGTATGCTTGGTGTTTATAGGACAACTAAACATTTCAGAGGTTGTATTGTCAAATGTATGTCCATAATGAATGCCCCTCGAGGTGTGTTGTGGGATCTTTGAGGGCAGTTCTTTACATTTATATTTCCATTATACCTAACAAATATAGTGGATACCCAATGAAATGTTTGAATGAATCAAAAAATTAGCAAATAGAAGACATATATGAACTACATAAAACAAAATCAAAAATTAGTCAAGGTTGAAAGCTTCTAATCTCATCTTTTTCCAATGTACTCTCTATACTTCTATCAGAGTAAACTTTCCCACAAATATAATCAGATTACTGCCCTAGTTAAATAGGTCCGCATTGCTTTGGGGACAAAATCCTGAATCTCTTAAGCATAGTATACAGTCATCCATGACTTGCTCTCTGCCTGCCTCATCTCTCACCATATCATGAGTTATACTATTATAACCATGGTTAACTCTCTGACTACACCATAAGTTTTTTTTAGGATAAAGATTTTGTCTAATTTATCTGTATGGCATCGGTTCCCCAAACAGCGTGTCCTAATACTTACAAAATATTATCTATGTACCAGACCACTCCAATGACACTGGAATGCTACTACACATTTAATTATTTTCATCCCTTATAAACATTTGTCAAATAAACAATTCCA
The DNA here is from genome assembly GCF_000001405.40 of Homo sapiens. Lineage (NCBI taxonomy): Eukaryota > Metazoa > Chordata > Mammalia > Primates > Hominidae > Homo > Homo sapiens. The sequence continues at coordinate 76,965,496 of NC_000023.11, forward strand.
TATGTCTCTTTATGAGTTAGTAAACTCAGGTTCTTTTCCTGGGAGTCCTGCTATTTATTTGAATGTATATATGCCTGTGTCTTTATTCATAAAAGAAAAATAATATCACCTGTACTTTATACCTGACATAGTGTTCTAAGCTGATATACTTTCTGGAATAAGATAGGGCAGTGGTCCCCAACCTTTTTGGCACCAAGGACCAGTTTCGTGGAAGACAATTTTTCCACGGACAAGGGAGTGGGGAATGGGTTCAGGATGAAATTGTTCCACCTCAGATCATCAAGTATTAGTTAGATTCTCATAAGGAGCACACAACCCAGATCCCTTGCATGTGCAGTTCACAATAGGGTTCACACTCGTGTGAGAATCTAATGCGGCTGATCTGACATGAGGCAGAGCTCAGATGGTAATGCTTGCTCGCTCACCACTCACCTCCTCCTGTGCAGCCCAGTTCCTAACAGGCCACGAACCGGTACCAGTTTAGTTCATGGCCCAGAGGTTAGGGACCTCTGAGATAGGGTATATATAAATACCCATGTGCACAAGTGTTATAATAAGCAAATGTTATCAATGTAAAGTGGTAGTTATAATAATAATTTCTATGAATTGTACTAAGTCTAGAGTCAGATTGGCTGGATTTAAATCTTGACTCAGCCACCTGCGATCAGGCACTATCTTTTCCTCACTTTCTTTATCTGTAAAGTAGAGATAATAATTGTACTTATTTCTTTGGGTTGTGTTGAAGAATAAATGAGTAAATTTATGTAAAATAATTAGAATATTACCTGGCACTTAGTAGATACTCAACAAATGTTAGGCATTTTATTCCAGTTATCTGTAACTTGATTGTGGCAGTGACTGTCAAATTATCCATCAAGTAAAGATATCAGCTATACATATCTGATGGCTGCCCAAGCCCTAAGAGCTAAACCCTAGCATGCTCAGAGATGGACTTGCCTCTAAATTCTATCCTCAACCCTAAAATGTAATATATATGGCCAACTCTTGAGAACTTTCCAAACACTTAAGGTATGCCACCTGGTAATCAAGATTGAATACATTTTTATTTATTTGGAAGCTGTGAATTTGCTCCAGTAACCAGGGACAGTTCCAAGTTTATATATTTCCATGAAAAATGTGAGAGCCAACTCCCCCCAAGTAGGCGTGATAAAGGGGTTCCCCAAAACCTGTTTCCAAGTAAATCCATACTGAACTTCTCTGGCCCCACTGGCCTCCTGCCTGATGGGAAAACCAATTGTTAGAGCCCTCTTGAATCATAACAGCTCCAAAGAATGAAAGGGTGGGGAGAACTTTCACATACTTTTTATGTTTATTGCTTCTTAGAGTTGTAAATAGAGTAGCCCAGCTCCCTTGAGCCAGCTCAGTGAGGAGTATATCATGAAACTTTCCCAAGTCCAGTTAAGAAGATATCATAGAGAATTTGATCTGGAAAGGAAGTCAAGAAGAAACGGGAAGGGATGTACACAGAAAGTAAATGTGTTTGACTTTACACATTTGAATTTACAGGGTAGGTTCAATCAGTAGCCCTTATTGATCATAAAGCCACGGACTCACAGGGATACAAGATTTTTGCCATGTCTCAAAATAAAAGAGAACTTAAAAAAGTAAATTGAAGGCAGGGTGGGAGCTAGGGGTGATTTTAAACAGATGAAAGAAATTTAAGTCCTATTTTAAATGCTGGAAGAATAAACCTGGAAAGGGAAAGGGATGCATCAAACGGCTTCCTCTGCCAAAACTAATCCAAAGATGAGATCCAAAGATGAGAGTTCACTCTGCCAGCATAATTCTGATTGCCTCATCCCCATACCAGTCACTCATCTCCCAGCAGATAGGATAGCATCATCTTGATTTCCAGCAGTCTGTTAAAGTAGAATTTATGATGCTTACAGAAAATTCTAAGTGTATTTTTAGTATGTGTTTTCTCTACCCTCCTCTGACACATTTATTTCTAATGTTATTTTTAAAATGAGTGATTTCAGTTGCTTCTTCAGATCACACACAATTCCCAATAACTAATTCTGAATTTTTCATCTGGTTCCAGGAATGAGCCAGTGCCCAACAGAGAACTCATATTGCTCTTGGAAAACTGCAATCTCCCAAAAGAGGAGTGTAGCTTGAAACTCCAATTCATCAGTCCAATGGACCTCTCTAGGAAGAGTTAATAGGCCTAGATAGAAAATATGAGGCATACTGCAAGCCCAAAACTCAGACTTTCAATTCAGAATCATTCCTTTTGAACTTCTACAGTCCCAGAAGATGAATACGTCCAATTCTGCAACTCTTTTCAACTTTGCTTATGGTTAACATGGGCCATCAAATAAACCATTTTAATTAAGCAAATTAGATGTCTCTAGCAACGAGAGAGTTGATTTAGTTATACAAACAGTTGAATTAATTTTTCAAGTCGATCTAACAAAATTAAATCAATTTGGTCAAGGAAACGTTCTGCTAGCCAATGCAAAATACTAGTTCATTCAAATAGATAATTCAGTCTACTAGGTCAGTTCTGCCTCACAACTAATTAATTCAGTATAACTACTTGTCAGTTCTATCAATTTATTTAATCTATCAAGCAAGCATATTTAACAGATTATATTCACTCCATTAAATAAACTGATAAGAATAGACAGAAATACTTGGGGGAGGGGGCACAGAGCTCCTGAAAGATTCTCACATGTAACATAAGAATTTGCCCTTTTTTCTGGTATATGTTAAATGTGCCAAGCCAAAGCAAACTCAGAGAAACCCCTGAATTAAGAGATAATTTATGGAAAATAAAATCGCAAATAGTAACTTATTGTTAACATGATATACTCAAGATGGACCATGGGAACATTTTTAGATGTGTTATTCACACATTAAAATACTGATGCAGATTTTTCCACTTCACTGTGAGAAAGACTTTAATCAGTTTTCATTCTTAATATAACATTCCATAAATCACTATCTGCATAATCAGTAGCACCAAAAAGCATTTAGTAAGAAACTTACCACACAGGGGTATTGGACCAAAATTTACATAGGCTTAGGCATGCTCACTGGTAGCTCATAGTCTAAGTTGAGCCAAATATATAGTTATAGGAAAATATATATATATACACAAATGAGATCAAAACATTAAATGAAAGATGTGAACAACCACTAAGATATATGCATTCAGGTCATACTCTTTACCATAGCAGTAAGATAGAACTAGTAGAAATATTTTTCTGTTTCAATAATGTGATACCAAGGGAGTCTTCACCTCTCCTCTCATTAATTCCAGAAGACTTCATAAAGTTGGAGACCCAACTTGACTTAATCAGATTATCTTACACACTCACTTCCCCTTCCTCCTACCATACACATACCACATATCTACCTGGTACAGTCACTGCAACATTTAAAGATTCTCTAGAATATGTTCTTTGTTGACTCTAACCTACCTCCCATTCCAGTGTATTATGATTTCCAGTTAAGATTTAAATAATAAGATTTCACACTAAATGCTTTAAATTTAGGGCACATGCAGGCACCCAAAAGAAATGTAGTAGCTGTGAAGAAATGTAGTAGCTGTGAAGAAACTTCTGTATTTCAAAAGTGTTTATTTGAAATGATTAAAAAAGAAAAATGGCATGTTCTTCAGAAGGACACAGGAATTAGAAAAATGGAAACTTCCTTATACAATTATCTTTTTCTATTCTAAGCAAAAATAATAGAAGAATCCAGAAAAATGTAGTAGTTCAATATGTCTTAAGCTCCTACTATGTCAAACTCTAGGCTCTTTGAGGGCAAGAATTATGTATTTTCATCTTAAGATCCCAGCACTAGAATATCTGGCATAAATATGCATTTAATAATATTTGATAACCAAATTAATTAATTAATAAAAGGTACTTTGTAGCCAGCAATGATGACTAAGACACTAAGACATAGTTAATGCTCTCAAAAAGCTTATGAAATAATAAGAAGAATCAGTTGTACATACAGTGTACTGAAATCTAAAATAAGTGCTGCAATGCAGTACCAGAATAAGGACTATGAGAGTAGAAGGAGAGCAGTTAATTGTGACTCGGGATATCTTGGAAAGTCCCCTGAAAGAGACAGCACTTGAGCTGAGCATCAATTCAGATTGCTATACAATCATTCTGATACCAAGAACTTTTTGACCCGGTTACCTTAACCCAGTCATTTTGATGAGGCCTAAAAAAAAAAAAAATGTCATTACACTTTCAGCTGTTTTATAAATTACCTATAATGTGTAAAACACCTTACCTTACCCCACTCCCAAGACTCACCATAATGCTAGTCTTTATAAGAAGGAGAGGTTCAGGGATAGAGTGGGGATTTGGCATATTTATACTTTTCATTTACCAAGAATTGTGTGTTGACCACCCTTGGTCACCTCATAAGTGGCCAACAATCATACTCAGTAAACTATCTTCTCATTCTGAGAATTTACATGTATCTTAATATACCCTTCAAATATTCTGATTTTTCCCTAAACATCAGAGATGTTGGAGAGATAAGATATTCAAGCCACATTATAATATCCTATTCTGAGATCCAGACTGTACAGGAAATCTTCAGTTAAATGTCTCACAGTAATCTCGGGCATCTCAGTAAAATACATATATTTGCTATCATACTGCTCCTTTAATTGAGGGTTTTCAAAAGCTTAATTGATAACTCCCTAGAAGTTAGCCTAGTTGTCTCAATATATATGTATTTTAAATTTTCTTTTTTCCTAATTATAAAAGACATGTCAATTTTTTTAAAGCAAGAAATTAATACAGGAGAAAGTGAAAAACTCTACTAAATAGTATTGGAGTTAGATAGAGCTGTGTGCTACACACAAAAACTGAGAAGTTTAAAACAATAGTAACTGCTCCTAGTTGGAACAGTTTCATTGAAATGACAAAGTCAAAATGTCTTGCTTTAGATTTTTGGTAGTAGGAGATGGTGGCTGAACTGGAAAACATAGAATACCAGAATAAAAGAGATTGATTAACTAGTAATAACTAAGAACATCATCAGGATGAAAACTGTCATCAAATGAGACTCCACTAATGTCAACAGCTACATAAAGATGCACAGTGACTTTATAAAAGGGAGAAGTGGATACAAGCCTTTCAATACTGCATGGAAGCAAGAGATAAAGCAATGAAGACAGGATTAAATAGCAACAAAAATAGATAAGAAAATTTTAAATGTGTACATATGTGTTTATATTTCTTTAACCCTTACTCTACATAATATACTACAGCATATCTAAGAAAGAATAAAGATTAATATTATGCTTTTATTTTACTTAACGAATAAAATGCTAAATAATCTCCACACTCAACTATCATAAACTACAGCATGTCTTGCTAATGGGTCTACATGACGAATATATAAGATTCCACCATTCTCCTGTCACTCGATACTTAAAAACCTGGAGGAAATAACTGGATCAAAGCCTGTAAATCTGAATCTATGTAGCAGTGGTTCTTAACTTTTTGAGGATTCCACATCCTTAGAGAATCTGATCAAAGCTAAGGACTCCAGAAAAATGCACATATGCATATACACACAAAAATTTTTTTGCTTATGATTTCTAGGGTTTCATAGACTTGAAGTTAAGGGCCTCTGTCTTGGTTCCTTTGGGCCTGAGCTTGCTTTCCTGGCTAAATATATAACATTATTAGCTGGATATTAGCAGAGTCACTTCCAGAGACATGTTTCTTACTTTCTCTCTTCTTCAGATACTATGCTGATGAAGTATGGATAGTGACACAGCTCAACTTCATTTGCGGTCCTTAGGAGACTGGCATGTTGCCACAGCTGCTAATCCTGTCATGGAGGCTAATGTGCCAGCTCAGGTATAATAATAACATAGTAAAAATGACAGAACAGGAACTCCCCAAACCTTTTTTTTAACCCAGCATATTTACAGGCATGCAAAACTCGACTGGAGATGTAATTTTTTTGCCTTCTTTCTACATTAATTTTTCTTCCTGATTTCAATTAGCCAAACTTGAATGGAGACATTACAGACAGCTCAACCCCACCTCAGAGCTGTGCAGACAGCTCTTGCTGCCAAGTTGTCTATCACCAAGACAACTAGGCCAATGTGCTTTGCTCTGGGTAAATACCTCATCAGGGCCAGTTGCAGAAGGAGCCTCTTTGCAATGACCTCCCATCAGATAAAAATCCTTACTCTTAGCAATCCAAAATATGTTTTGAAAGTACATGGGTATAAATAATAACCATTAATATTTTAAATAGTTATTTATGCTGATGAAAGGAGGCTTATTTCCAGAGATAGTCTCATATGCAGGCAAGTTGCTGAGGGTTCTAGAAAAGCTCTAGTCATCCCAGTATGTCTGAAGTTCCTGTTTGTGAGTCATTATTCTTTTTTCCTTTGAATTCATCATAACTTTCTTCAAACACCTTCTTTTAAGCTAAAAATTAACCTGAAGTGGTCATTAGTAATATAGCAATCTTTCTACCTCTAGTCTCTTTAAAACATTTTGAATAAGAGATGATAAAAGGTGAGATGGTTAGCATTCTCACCCTAAATGAAAAATGGAAGACATGGGTTAACTCTTTGGACACAGTGGCATTTGAGAAAGTGAAACTTTTATAAGTTCAGTATATGTGAATGAGTCAAAAACAGAAAACACTACTTTCAACAGATTCAAAGAAAGATTTTTTAAATCTCAGCAAAATGTGCTGAGTTTTTGTGTCCTTCAGGATCAGGCAGAGGTGTCACATCATTTTACTCCTCCCATCCAGGCTCTGTTAATGCTGATCAGGAGCAGCCCCTCACAGCTTTATTGTTTGCTGGTCTCCTTGGTGGCAGGTGTCTGCTAATCAGAGGCTTAAGAAGCTTGGAGTTTAGGAGTCGGCCCTGACTGGAAGGAAAACTTTCCATTCAGCCTTGGGCAACAATATTGGAGCTTTTTTTGAATGTTGTAACAAACTCTGTGCCAAGTGGGGGCCCAACCTCCCCCTACACAGCCCCAGGAATCCAAAGAAAGAAGTGTTTTCAATTCTCTTTCAGGACCTCTGATCTCCTAAACTGAGACCAAATAAAAACAGTCTGGGCTAATTACGTCTCTCCTACCCCCATCTATTGTGGAGTCCGCCTGGGAGAAAATCAGGAAAGCTGGTCTTAAGCCAGTATTGGTCTTCCTTGGAGGCAGAAAAATTCTCTCACCTTCCCTCCATGGACTACCCTGGACAGTAAAGAGCTCCCACCTCAGATATCTTATGGGGAGGGGGGCTGTGGGAGGCAGGGCAGGGCCTAAGATGATGTAGCTGAAATATCAAGGCCTAAAAAGTTATAACACCTGTTTTGGTATTTTCTGTGTTCTTACTATTTTGTCAGTTAGCATTTCTCTTATCAAGACCTAAAAATTTCTAACACCTGTGTTGGTATTTTCTGTGTTCTTACTATTTTGTCAGTTAGCATTTCTCTTATCAAGTAGAATGGGAGGAAGAGTGGAAAGAGTTGCTTGGGAGTTCAAATGGCCAGGGAATGACTCTAGCACCATTGATTACTATTAATAACTATAACATTAGACAACATATTCCACAGTTCAAGGCTCTCATCCCAGTTCTCTCACTTGCAAGCTATGTGACCTTGGTGAAATTCCTACTCCAACCTTGGTTTCCTCATCATAAAAATGGGGAGGTTTAACTAGAAGATATCTAACAGCCTAGGAGATTAAGTAACTTCTGGGATTCTGAATCTGGAAAACACTCAAATGGGATTAGATACTCGGAAAGTTATTGTCCACCCCATTCCCAACCTCCATCCATCTCAACAGGGTTTGGCCATAGCTTCCCCAAGCCATTTCTCTTGGGGATCTCCTAGCCCTGGAAAGGAGAAAGAAGAGTAGGCAATTCAAGACTATGCCCACAACAAAAATCCAGGTAGTCATGCTCAAAGCAAGAACAACTCAAAACTGCAGGTTTCCAAGCCATAAATGCCAGTTTATGAGCTGATAATAAGGTAAGCTTTTCCCTAAGAATTTTACCTAGCAAACCTTACCATATGAACAGGAGGTATCCCAGAGAACACAGCTCAAGACCACCACAGCCAGTGCTCAGAGCTCAGGTAATGCATCCAACCATGTTAAGGGAACAGCAAATGATCTAATGGAAGGGAATCATGGAACATGAGGCTGGGAAAGTTCTTGAGGACAGATAGAAGGAAACACCTCTAAAAACCTAACAGTAGGACACAAGGACAGAAAGCTCTTTCATGCTGTGGGGTTATCAACTATGATCCAGAAGAGATGATGCAAAAGAGCTAGATAAACTACAAACAAAGATTAAAATGAAGAGTCTTGAAAATCAAAACTCCTTTAGGTACCTGAATGAACAAAAGGTTAAAATGCTATTTGTAAAATTTCAGGTACTGTCATAGTTTAGTAGGGAAAACAATTGGGAGAGTAGAATAAGATAGTGACCTACTAAAGAATCTATATAACTCTTTTTTTTCCTTAATATAGAATCATCACCACTAAAAACTGTTGGGGGTAGAAATAGGAGGGGTAATATAGTGAAAACGTAAACAATATGATCCTTACAATAAAAATACAGGCTATTTCCATACTCAAAATATATTCTATTATGAATTTAGTAAAATAAACCCAAATAAATAAAACTATATCAAAAAAAGAACAAGGCTAAACTCAAACTTTATGTTTTTGTGTTCATGACACTAAAGAAATAGATTCTAGTGAATTATCCATTTTTAACTAGCTGGTTGGTATTGTATAGATGCAGCCAGCATCTAATCTGCTCTCAATTGTGCCCTCAGCCCTCAGGACCCTGGGGGTCTGAAATCTCAGCCAACTTTGCAATTTAATCCAAAACCCAAAGCAGTTCAGATTCCAAGTAACCTGTTACCCTCTGCTAGCAAAACATCATTCGTGGTTTGAAAAATACCATTTTTAATAACCTCTTTTCAGTTCTTTGGCAGGTCCCCAGCTTTTCTTCAAAGTTGATTTTTCCCCAGTGAGAGTACAGCTGGAAGAATCCAGAAGTACAGTGTGCCACACTCCCTCTACCCCAGGCTGTGAAGGCCCAGTGCTAGGGCAATGAAGAAGGCTGGAGTGGGAAGGCAAGCAGGGGAATGGGCAAGCTGTGGATCACATGGAAATGGCCTCAGCTCAAGCCTTCCCAGAAACAAAACAATGTATCATCCTTAACAGTCAACAACCGGAGGAACTAAATTCAAAATTGGATTTTGGGCTGTATCACTTATTTTAAAATAAATTCAATTTTTAAAAGCACTATAATTTGGGCTACTTCATGAATACCATGTTTATTTTTTCTTTACAGTGAACCACTCTTCAGATATCACATAAACAGATGCCAAGAAAACAATCTATGAAGAGAGACACTGGAGGCAGAACTGGAGGCAAGGAAGCAGAACTTCATCTTTGGAGATTTAGGGCCTCTTAAGACAAGTGCAGAATGAACTCTTCTTTAACTTCAAGACAGTAGCCTTAAAGTCCTGAATTTACTCTTGCATTTTTTGCCCAGGACTAATGAAGCTGGGGTTGCCAATAAAATGACCACTTTGCTCAAAATGTCTCATTTAAACTCCAATTCTTCTTAAAACAGCAGGGTAGGATTTTGGCCAGAACATGCTTTCTAGTACAAACACTAGTGCACTTTTACAGGGCAGGTAAAGCCCAAAATTATGTTGCTAATTAATTTTATATTCCCTCTAGCTACCTAGAACTAACTGAAGCCCAGCATTCCCCAATTGAGATTTTGCCAAGAATTTAGATAATGCCATTTATGGACCATGCCAACAGCTGAGGTCACGCTTTCTGTCTAAAGGGAAAAAAAAGAAAGAAAAAATAAATAGGGAAGGATTCGTGGAAAGTGCATATTAGGGGATTGGGGCAGACGGGAGAGGAAAGAGACAAGAAGTAAAAATCTTTCTATAGCAACCAAGCCCAAACAGACACACACACACACCAGAGGATGGCCTGGAGGTTTTGGGTTTGTATGATTTTGGAGTAAACATGAAGTAAAACAGTAAAAGAAATGATCATAGGGAATGTTAGAGAAGTGACAACTTGATCTCCAAGAAGTAACTCTCCCTCACAAAATGTAAAGAATATAAAAAGGAAAAATCCTGATGTCTTGCATCATGGCTGATACAAATGCTGTCTGCAATGTGCATGCCAGGAATGTGAATCACCTGCTACTTGATTTGGGGTCTGTAATTATAAGTAAAGTCTCTTTTTTTCCAGCACAAATTCAGATTCCAAGGACTAAAAAAAACCTCTAAAAGTCACAGTATCCTGAACACTAGAGCTGGAAAAAAAAAAAAAACCTTTAAATCTCCTTTAACCTAATTGTCCCATTGTAGAGATGAGAAAAATGAGGCCCCAAATTAGGAAGAAACATGGCCAAAACATGTTACACAGTAAGTTAGTGGCAGAGTGAAGAATAGAACCCAAATCTAGTTGGGTGGTTCCTAAATATCAATTCATAATGAAATTTTCACTGGTCCAAATGAAAAATGAGCAAAATAAGAACTATGTGGTGATTGCTTTAAAAAGTTAAAAACTTTTGACTATTTTTAATTTTGAGACTATGTCTTTTCTTATTTCTTGATGTGAAAATACTTCTTTTTTGAAATGATGAAAATCACAGAGAGTAGCTGTTGCTTTATGATGTCCTTAATTAGCAAAATAATAAATTAGCAGCCTTATATGACACCTTGATATTTTTTGGAAAATATTTGGCATGTGAAAACCATAAGTCTTGTATCACTAGTCTAGTCCAATCTCCTGCCATTAGGCAGAATATCACCACTCAACCCAATTTCTCTTCTGACCTTAAGAGTTTTTGAACCCACTGAATATGCCACTTAAAAGTGTTACATGGTGAACAATGCACTAGAAAAAAACTGGTTTGAGCCAGGTGTGATTGTGTGCATCTGTAGTCCCAGCTATTTGGGAGGCTGAGGCGGGAGCATCACTTGAGCCCATAGATTCGAGAAACACACTGGTTTAGCTGGGATGTGGGCTGGAGGATAAACCAAAAAAAGAAAAGAAGCACATGACAGAACATGGAGAAACAAACTGGCTTGTGATCAATACCTATTTTTTGTTATAGCAACTTCAAATTATTGTAATACCCTAATTTAATAAGCAATAGCTCTTCCATTACCTATTTATATTTATCCTTTGTGGCTTAATTCAAATTTTCATCTTGAGGAAAAAAGCAACAGACACCCAATTTCTGTGAGGTAAGTACATTGTATAAAAGAAGCTTAGAGAGGTTAAGTGACTTGCCCAAGATCACATGGTACATAGGGGATTGAGCCAGGAATAAATCCTAGAACTTCATTCTAGATCTCATAATCCTTCGTTGAGCCCACATGTTTACTCTGTATGCATGTTAACTCAGTTTCTGGGTATGACCCATCAGCTGGGCAACGATATTGTGGTATGTGCTGTCTAGATGCTTGTGTGCAGCATCACAATTCTAGCTGCCAGGCCAAAGAAACATCAGGCTCCAGGACCAAGAGGATTACAAGATTACTGGGAGTATAAATGTCTCTGGCTCCTGGCCACCCACTGATGTGATTTGTGGGAGATAAGTGCCCCAACAGTCCTATTGCTGTAGCTATCTGTTGCTACCACTTCTAGTTAGACGAACGCCAGAGGAGTGTACTTGTGTATCAAAATGCATGCCCAGGTATCATCATTATCATAAAACTTTCAATGGTCTTCGTTGAGACTACTTTGCTTATGGATTATCTAAGACACATATTTCATCCTAGTCACCACCACCTTCCACCACTCAATCAAGACTCAATCTGATTATCTAAAAGGATTTTAGCATCATCCTAAACTGAACAGAATTTTAAAGTTAAAGCAAATAATACTAACCAAAAACACCACATAATATGTTATAAAGCCAAACCCAAATGCTTTTGAGATTCCTGCTATTTGGAACTTTCATTATTTGGGATTGCTGCTATTTGGGATTCTGACTGTTTGGGATAATCTCCATTTCTTTACCCCTTTAGGTGGGCAGGAATCATTTAAAAGCAGATGGCAAAGACGGCCTCCTGGCTCCTGGTTAGTTGGTGGTTAGCAACTGTCAGGGTCCTGACTCAGCAGAGTATAGGAAGGAACTGCATAGTCACTTAGCAGTGGACCAACTAGAAAACTGCCTTTATTCATAACAATAACGTTTGAAAAAGAAACCAGTATCTCTATCTGAACAGGCACAAGCCCAATACAGATCTTGGATCTGGCACATCAGTAGATGTTTATCTCTCAGACCCTCAAATAATAAAACAGAGCTCAGGGTCTCAGGGTAAAACAATCAGCTTCCTGGACTCACATAGGAAAAAGCTAATATGGTGGTAATAAGCCACTTAAATAGCTGTCTGCCTATGTTACAATAACATGCTCTTTGCGTTCCTTCCAACAGCTCCCAAAGGCCATGTGCTGTGGACAGTCACACTTTGTGGGTACCTCTATCCCACTCCATACACCTACCCAAAGAAAGCAGATCATTTTTAATCTCTCCCAAACTTTAAAACAATGTATTGAATTTTTCCCTTTCCTTTGCTTTTTCTTTTCTTCTTCTTTTTTTCTTTCTCTTCTGCTTTTAGTCTATTGGATTTTTTTTCTTATTATCCTTTTTAGTGTTGGGGTATTTTTTTTCTTTGTTATTGTTGTTGATGATGATTCTTTTGCCTTTCCTTCCTCTCATTTCTCCATGTTTTCTTTTGTTGTTGTTTTTGTGTTTTTAGGACAGCTCCCTTTTCTGTTTTCAGGGATTTGTTTTAAATTTTTGTGATTTGGGATTTGGCAGTTTGGGATTCTCTTTTTGCTTTGTTGTTTTGTGTGTTGTGTGAGTTTTGTGTTTGTTTTGTTTCTTTTTTGTTTGGCGCTTTTATTTTATATTTTCCATTTTTGAAATTCTTCCTCTTGTTTGCTTGTTTTTTTTTTTCTTTTCTGTATTTTTTATTATCCATGCTTTCTTTCTTTATTTGGGTTTTAATTGTTTTTCTTGTTTTTTAGGGTTTTTGTTCGGAGTTTTCAGATTTTTTTTAGAATTTAAGACTTTAAGATTCCTGAGCCAAGATGGCCGAAGACGAACAGCTCTGGTCTACAGCTCACAGCGTGAGCGACACAGAAGACAGGTGATTTCTGCATTTCCATCTGAGGTACCAGGTTCATCTCACTAGGGAGTGCCAGACAGTGGGCAAGGGACAGTGGGTGCAGTGCACCATGCGTGAGCCGAAGCAGGATGAAGCATTGCCTCACTTGGGAAGTGCAAGAGGTCAGGGAGTTCCCTTTCCTAGTCCAAGAAATGGGTGGCAGACGGCACCTGGAAAATCGGGTCACTCCCACCATAATACTGTGCTTTTCGGACGGGCTGTAAAAACGGTGCACCAGGAGATTATATCCCACACCTTCCTTGGAGGGTCCTATGCCCACGGAGTCTCCCTGATTGCTAGCACAGCAGTCTGAGGTCAAACAGCAAGGTGGCAGCCAGGCTAGGGGAGGGGCGCCCACCATTGCCCAGGCTTGCTTAAGTAAACAATGCAGCTGGGAAGCTCAAACTGGGTGGAGCCCACCACAGCTCAAGGAGGCCTGCCTGCCTCTGTAGGCTCCACCTCTGGGGGCAGGGTACAGACAAACAAAAAGACAGCAGTAACCTCTGCAGACTTAAATGTCCCTGTCTGACAGCTTTGAAGAGAGCAGTGGTTCTCCCAGCATGCAGCTGGAGATCTGAGAACGGGCAGACTGCCTCCTCAAGTGGGTCCCTGACTACTGACCCCTGAGCAGCCTAACTGGGAGGCACCCCCCAGTAGCAGCAGAGTGACACCTCACACGGCCGGGTACTCCTCTGAGACAAAACATCCAGAGGAACGATGAGACAGCACCATTCACAGTACACGAAAATCCACTGTTCTGCAGCCACCACTGCTGATGCCCAGGCAAACAGGGTCTGGAGTGGACCTCTAGCAAACTCCAACAGACCTGCAGCTGAGAGTCCTGTCTGTTAGAAGGAAAACTAACAAACAGAAAGGACATCCACACCAAAAACCCATCTGTACATCACCATCATCAAAGACCAAAAGTAGATAAAATCACAAAGATGGGGAAAAAACAGAGCAGAAAAACTGGAAACTCTAAAAAGCAGAGCAACTCTCCTCCTCCAAAGGAATGCAGTTCCTCATCAGAAATGGAACAAAGCTGGATGGAGAATGACTTTGACAAGTTGAGAGAAGAAGGCTTCAGATGATCAAACTACTCCGAGCTACAGGAGGAAATTCAAACTAAAGGCAAAGAAGTTAAAACTTTGAAAAAAATTTAGACGAATGTATAACTAGAATAACCAATACAGAGAAGTGCTTAAAGGAGTTGATGGAGCTGAAAGCCAAGGCTCAAGAACTACTTGAAGAATGCAGAAGCCTCAGGAGCTGATGCGATCAACTGGAAGAAAGGGTATCAGTGATGGAAGATTAAATGAATGAAATGAAGCGAGAAGGGAAGTTTAGAGAAAAAAGAATAACAAGAAATGAACAAAGCCTCCAAGAAATATGGGACTATGTGAAAAGACCAAATCTACATCTGATTGGTGTACCTGAAAGTGACGGGGAGAATGGAACCAAGTTGGAAAACACTCTACAGGATATTATCCAGGAGCACTTCCCCAATCTAGTAAGGGAGGCCAACATTTAGATTCAGAAAATACAGAGAATGCCACAAAGATACCCTCAAGAAGAGCAACTCCAAGACACATAATTGTCAGATTCACCAAAGTTGAAATGAAGGAAAAAATGTTAAGGGCAGCCAGAGAGAAAGGTCGGGTTACCCTCAAAGGGAAGCCCATCAGACTAACAGCAGATCTCTTGGCAGAAACTCTACAAGCCAGAAGAGAGTGGGGGCCAATATTCAACATTCTTAAAGAAAAGAATTTTCAACCCAGAATTTCATATCCAGCCAAACTAAGCTTCATAAGTGAAGGAGAAATAAAATACTTTACAGACAAGCAAATGCTGAGAGATTTTGTCACCACCAGGCCTGCCTTAAAAGAGTTCCTGAAGGAAGCACTAAACATGGAAAGGAACAACCGGTACCAGCCACTGCAAAATCATGCCAAATAGTAAAGACCATCGAGGCTAGGAAGAAACTGCATCAACTAACGACCAAAATAACCAGCTAAAATCATAATGATACGATCAAATTCACACATAACAATATTAACTTTAAATGTAAGTGGACTAAATGCTCCAATTAAAAGACACAGTCTAGCAAATTGGATAAAGAGTCAAGACCCATCAGTGTGCTATATTCAGGAAACCAATCTCACGTGCAGAGACACATATGGGCTCAAAATAAAAGAATGGAGGAAGATCTACCAAGCAAATGGAAAACAAAAAAAGGCAGGGGTTGCAATCCTAGTCTCTGATAAAACAGACTTTAAACCAACAAAGATCAAAAGAGACAAAGAAGACCACTACATAATGGTAAAGGAATAAATTCAACAAGAAGAGATAACTATTCTAAATATACATGCATCCAATATAGGAGCACCCAGATTCATAAAGCAAGTCCTGAGTGACCTACAAAGAGACTTAGACTCCCACACAATAATAGTGGGAGACTTCAACACTCCACTGTCAACATTAGACAGATCAACGAGACAGAAAGTTAACAAGGACACCCAGGAATTGAACTCAGCTCTACACCAAGTGGACCTAATAGACATCTACAGAGCTCTCCACCCCAAATCAACAGAATATAGATTTATTTCAACACAACACCACACCTATTCCAAAACTGACCACATAGTTGGAAGTAAAGCTCTCCTCAGCAAATGTAAAAGAAAAGAAATTATAACAAACTGTCCCTCAGACCACAGTGCAATCAAACTAGAACTCAGGATTAAGAAACTCACTCAAAATCACTCAACTACATGGAAACTGAACAACCTGCTCCTGAATGACTACTGGGTACATAACGAAAAGAAGGCAGAAATAAAGATGTTCTTTGAAACCAATGAGAACAAACACACAACATACCAGAACCTCTGGGACACATTC
Source organism: Homo sapiens (assembly GCF_000001405.40). Classification (NCBI taxonomy): domain Eukaryota; kingdom Metazoa; phylum Chordata; class Mammalia; order Primates; family Hominidae; genus Homo; species Homo sapiens. The sequence goes on from NC_000023.11 coordinate 76,981,592, forward strand.
AAAGCAGTGTGTAGAGGGAAATTTATAGCACTAAATGCCCACAAGAGAAAGCAGGGAAGATCCGAAATTGACACCCTAACATCACAATTGCAAGAACTAGAAAAGCAAGAGCAAACACATTCCAAAGCTAGCAGAAGGCAAGAAATAACTAAAACCAGAGCAGAACTGAAGGAAATAGAGACAAAAAAAAACCCTTCAAAAAATTAATGAATCCAGGAACTGGTTTTTTGAAAAGATCAACAAAATTGATAGACCACTAGCAAGACTAATAAAGAAAAAAAGAGAGAAGAATCAAATAGATGTAATAAAAAATGATAAAGGGGATATCACCACCAATCCCACAGAAATACAAACTACCATCAGAGAATACTACAAACAGCTCTACGCAAATAAACAGGAAAATCTAGAAGAAATGGATAAATTCCTGGACACATACACCCTCCCAAGACTAAACCAGGAAGAAGTTGAATCTCTGAATAGACCAATAACAGGCTCTGAAATTGTGGCAATAATCAATAGCTTACCAACGAAAAAGAGTCCAGGACGAGATGGATTCACAGCCGAATTCTACCAGAGGTACAAGGAGGAACTGGAACCATTCTTTCTGAAACTATTCCAATCAATAGAAAAAGAGGGAATCCTCCCTAACTCATTTTAAGAGGCCAGCATCATGCTGATACCAAAGCTGGGCAGAGACACAACCAAAAAAGAGAATTTTAGACCAATATCCTTGATGAACATTGATGCAAAAATCCTCAATAAAATACAGGCAAACCAAATCCAGCAGCACATCAAAAAGCTTATCCACCATGATCAAGTGGACTTCATCCCTGGGATGCAAGGCTGGTTCAATATACACAAATCAATAAATGTAATCCAGCATATAAACAGAGCCAAAGACAAAAACCACATGATTATCTCAACAGACGCAGAAAAGGCCTTTGACAAAATTCAACAACCCTTCATGCTAAAAACTCTCAATAAATTAGGCATTGATGGGACATATCTCAAAATAATAAGAGCTATCTATGACAAGCCCACAGCCAATATCATACTGAATGGGCAGAAACTGGAAGCATTCTCTTTGAAAACTGGCACAAGAGAGTGATGCCCTCTCTCACCACTCCTTTTCAACACAGTGTTGGAAGTTCTGGCCAGGGCAATGAGGCGGGAGAAGGAAATAAAGGGTATTCAATCAGGAAAAGAGGAAGTCAAATTGTCCCTGTTGGCAGATGACATGATTGTATATCTAGAAAACCCCATTGTCTCAGCCCAAAATCTCCTTAAGCTGATAGGCAACTTCAGCAAAGTCTCAGGATACAAAGTCAATGTGCAAAAATCACAAGCATTCCTATACTCCAATAACAGACAAACAGAGAGCCAAATCGTGAGTGAACTCCCATTCACAATTGCTTCAAAGAGAATAAAATACCTAGGAATCCAACTTACAAGGGACGTGAATGACCTCTTCAAGGAGAACTACAAACCACTGCTCAATGAAATCAAAGAGGACACAAAGAAATGGAAGAACATTCCATGCTCATGTGTAGGAAGAATCAATATCGTGAAAATGGCCATACTGCCCGAGGGAATTTATAGATTCAATGCCATCCCCATCAAGCTACCAATGACTTTCTGCACAGAATTGGAAAAAACTACTTTAAAGTTCATATGGAACCAAAAAAGAGCCCGCATCACCAAGTCAATCCTAAGCCAAAAGAACAAAGCTGGAGGCATCACGCTACCTGACTTCAAACTATACTACAAGTCTACAGTAACTGAAACAGCATAGTACTGGTACCAAAACAGAGATATAGATCAATGGAACAGAACAGAGCCCTCAGAAATAACACCACATATCTACAACTATCTGATCTTTGACAAACCTGAGAAAAACAAGCAATGGGGAAAGGATTCCCTATTTAATAAATGGTGCTGGGAAAACTGGCTAGCCATATGTAGAAAGCTGAAACTGGATGCTTTTCTTACACCTTATACAAAAATTAATTAGAGATGGATTAAAGACTTAAACGTCAGACCTAAAACCATAGAAACCCTAGAAGGAAACCTAGGCATTACCATTCAGGACATAGGCACAGGCAAGGACTTCATGTCTAAGACACCAAAAGCAATGGCAGCAAAAGCCAAAATTGACAAATGGGATCTAATTAAACTAAAGAGCTTCTGCACAGTAAAAGAAACTACCATCAGAGTGAACAGGCAACCTACAAAATGGGAGAAAATTTTCACAACCTACTCATCTGACAAAGGGCTAATATCCAGAATCTACAATGAACTCAAACAAATTTACAAGAAAAAAACAAACAACCCCATCAAAAAGTGGGCGAAGGACATGAACAGACACTTCTCAAAAGAAGACATTTATGCAGCCAAAAAACACATGAAAAAATGCTCACCATCATGGGCCATCAGAGAAATGCAAATCAAAACCACAATGAGATACCATCTCACACCAGTTAGAATGGCAATCATTAAAAAGTCAGGAAACAACAGGTGCTGGAGAGGATGTGGAGAAATAGGAACACTTTTACACTGTTGGTGGGACTGTAAACTAGTTCAACCATTGTGGAAGTCTGTGTGGTGATTCCTCAGGGATCTAGAACTAGAAATACCATTTGACCCAGCCATCCCATTACTGGGTATATACCCAAAGGACTATAAATCATGCTGCTATAAAGGCACATGCACACGTATGTTTATTGAAGAATTATTCACAATAGCAAAGACTTGGAACCAACCCAAATGTCCAACAATGATAGACTGGATTAAGAAAATGTGGCATATATACACCATGGAATACTATGCAGCCATAAAAAATGATGAGTTCATGTCCTTTGTAGGGACATGGATGAAATTGGAAATCATCATTCTCAGTAAACTATCACAAGAACAAAAAACCAAACACTGCATATTCTCACTCATAGGTGGGAATTGAACAATGAGAACACATGGACACAGGAAGGGGAACATCACACTCTGGGGACTGTTGTGGGGTGGGGGAAGGGGGGAGGGATAGCATTGGGAGATATACCTAATGCTAGATGACGAGTTAGTGGGTGCAGCGCACCAGCAAGGCACATGTATACATATGTAACTAACCTGCACATTGTGCACATGTACCCTAAAACTTAAAGTATAATACTAAAAAATAAATAAATAAATAAGTAAAATTTAAAAATCCCAAGATAAATGATAATTGGAAACAAAGTGAGGTCATTACATAGTGAATAGAGTTATTTCACTGACTATCCTTCATCAACACTTTCAAAGCACAAGTAGTGATGCCAAGCAATCTTAAATTTTGTTTGAAAGTCTTATTACATTTTAAAAGTCTTATATAAAAAATAAGCAAGTTCATTAATTATGTGCATATTGCTAAGGTGTCAGAATTTTAGTGTAAACAGAGAGATACCTTTATAAAACCAAAGAAATAAAATAAAATCCATATACAGGTAAGTTTGAACTGGGAATGTCAGTACGATCTCATGATATCTTCGTGTTTTGAATAAATTCAGGTGCTGCTGGTGCTCACTAAAAAAAAAAGAAAAAAAAAGAAAATGTGGCACATATACACCATGGAATACTGTGCAGCCATAAAAAATGATGAGTTCATGTCCTTTGTAGGGACATGGATGAAATTGGAAATCATCATTCTCAGTAAACTATCGCAAGGATGAAAAACCAAACACCGCATGTTCTCACTTATAGATGGGAATTGAACAATGAGAACACGTGGACACAGGAAGGGGAACATCATACTCTGGGGACTGTTGTGGGGTGGGGGAAGGGGGGAGGGATAGCATTAGGAGACATACCTAATGCTAAATGACGAGTTAATGGGTGCAGCACACCAGCATGGCACATGTATACATATATAACAAATCTGCACATTGTGCACATGTACCCTAGAATTTAAAGTATAATAATAATCAAATGAAATTAAAAAAAAATTTTCCCTTTTTCTATGCTATTTTTTTAATTTTTAAAATCCTTTTGTCTCTTCTTATTTGTCTGTCATTTTTCACTTTTTGTCTTTTCATTTTTAAATAGTATTTTTATTTTAGAATAGTTTTAAACTTACAAAAAAGATGCAAAGACAGTACAGTGGGTTCCCATATATTCAACACCCAGTTTCCCTTATTATTAACATCTTACATTAGTATGGTTAGTATGAGATTACTTTAATGTATTTGTTACAATTAATGAACCAATTTTGATACACAATTTTTAATTAAAGTCTATATTTTATTCATTTTTTTGTTTTTGTTTTTAACTAATTTTTTTTTCTGTTCCAGGATCTCATATAGGATACCATATTACATTTAGTTGTCATGTTTCCTTAGACTGCTCTTGGTTTGGAGAGCTTCTCAGACTTTCCTTGTTTTTGATGACCTTAACAGTTTTGAGGCGTACTAGTCAAGTGTTTTATAGAATGTCCTTACAATGGGATTTTTCCAATGGTTATCTCATAATTACACTGAGGTAATGTGTTTTGGAGAGGAAAACTACAGAGGTGAAGTGCTCTTCTCATCACATTAAAACAAGAGTACATACTATCGACATGATTTATCACTATTGATGTTAATCTTATCACTCGGCTGAGGTGTGTTTGCCAAGTTTCTTTACTATAAAGTTACTTTTCCCCCTTTGCATGATGTGCTTTTTGGATCAAGTTACTAAGTCTGCTCCATGCTTAGGATGACTGAGATTAAGATCCATCTTTTGGGAGAGTATCTATAAAAATGATTTAGAATCCGGTACCACATTATTTATTTTGCTGCTCCAACTGGTCCAGCTTTGAGATTGGGATTCCATTCAGGTCAGCTCCTGTGTTCCTTTAACATGCCCCCTTCCTTATATTTTTTCAACTCCTCTAACTTTTGAAAAGTATTTCTTTCTCTTCTTTTACATTTGTTTGTTTCCTTATTTGTTTCCATTTTTCTTCCATTTTCCCTCCTCTTCCTCTTTTCTCTCCTTTGTTTGCTTTAATATTTTCTCATTTCCTTTTTCTTATCCTTTTACTTTTCCACCTATGTTTTTAAAATAATTTTCTCCTTACCAACATTCTTTTTATATTTTTTCTTTTTACGTGACATTTTCCTTGTGACAATATTAAAATATATTCTGCATAACTGGTATATGCTGCATACCTAGTGAAACAAAGTAAACATCCAAAAATAAAAATATACCCTCATTCCCCCTTCTCAGCATGACTGCCAATATTGTTGGTCGCCTACTGGATTTCATAGCACTCTTGTAAAGCTCTGTATTTCCTCCCAGGAATGATCAAAGGACCTAATGTGGTAACTTCTGAGGGTCTTCTACCTTCCTTGACAACTCTGTTCTACCAGTAGCCATAGACATTATACTGAAAATTGGCTGGAATGCCAAAGCAGTAATCAGACATTTAATACCCTGCTTACATAGAAACATCCCATTAAAATTACCTCCTCCATCGGGCCAATATGTCTGACTAGAAGCAGCTGCTTTCAGAGGCTCCCTTCAAAACAAACCATAATAAGCATATGAATCCTTCACCAGCAACCAAGGTATCCAGGTTCTCTCATCAAAGTTGACTAGAAGGCTGATGTGACTCATGGAGAGAAGGCAGAACAGTGTGGTGTGGTGGCCCACCTGAGAGCCACACAGGGAAGGGGAACCCCTTCCCCACAGTCAAGGGAGGCAGTGAGTGAGCGTGCTACCAAGCCAGGAAAACTGTGCTTTTTCCATGAAATTGTGCAACCCATGGATCATAAGAACCCACTCGCAAAACCATGCCACCAGGGCCTAACGTCCCAACCCCAGAACGTGCAGATTCTTACAACCTCCCAGCTGGAATCTGCTAAAACCTATTGAACTCCCCGGGGGAGGGGTTACCAGCACCAACTGTGGCTGCCTGCTGTCTAAGCTATTTGAGCTCCTTGGGGGAGGGGCAGCAGCCAGCACTGGGACTCACAACTGCCTAACACGCTAAGCTCCCTGGGAGTGGGGAAGGGCAGTACCCATTTCTATAGCTCCAGGCTGTGCTTCTCCCCTGCTGGAGCCAGAGGGGCTGGAGTGCTTGGTCCCAAGACTTGTCCCTACAGCTCAACACACTGATTGTGCAGTCTGCAGCCAGAGTGCCTCTTCAGGCCTAAATCTGACTCATCCTTCCTCATTGGGTGGGGCTTCCCTGCAGTATCTCTAATAACTCCAGCCAGAGGCTCAGGGACAGAATTTGGATCTCCCTAGGCCTGATCCCCTAGTGGGAGAGGTGGCTGCAGTCTCTGCAGACCAGCAGACGGCCTCTCCTCCTGGTAGTTCTGAGGAATCCAGGAAGCCCAGACGAATGGGTTACTCCCCAGTGAAGTGCACACTCTCCACCAAGAGACAAAGTGCTTTGTTAAATGGGTCCTGCTCCCCATGCCATCAAACTGGCTGAGATCTTCCAACAGAGGTTGTAGACACTCTACACATGAGCAATCCTACTGGCATAAGGTTGGTGCCCCTCGAGGTCAGAGGTCCCAGAAGAAGGAGCAGGCAACCATCTTTGCTGTTCTCCAGCCTCCTTGAGTGACATCTCCAGGCTCAGGAGCAAATCAGATGAATAGGGCCTGAAGTGAAGCCCCAGCAAACTGCAGCAGCCCTATAGAAGAGGGACTTGACTATTGCAAGAAAAAAGAAACAAGCAGAAAGCTACAGTAACAGCATCATCAACAACAGCAAAAAAGGCCCCAACAAAAACCTCATCCAAGCATCGGCCTCAAAGACCAAAAATAAAAAAAAACTCAGGAAGATGAGAAATAATCAACGAAAAAATGCTGAAAATCCAAAAGAACAAAGTGTCTCTTCTCTCCAAATTATCACAGTGTCTTTCCATCAAGGGTGCAGAACTGGATGGAGAATCAGATGGACAAATTGGCAGAAGTAGGCTTCAGAAGATGAGCAATAAAAAATTACACTGACCTAAAGGAGCAAGTTCTAACCCAATGCAAATAAGCTAAGAACCTTGATAAAAGGTTAAAGGAATTGCTAACTAGAATAACCAGTTTAGAGAGGAATATAAATGACCTTATGGGGCTGAAAAACATAGCACAAGAACTTTGTGAAGCATACACAAGTATCAACAGCTGAACTGACCAAGTGGAAGAAAGGATATCAGAGTTTGAAGACCACCTTACTGAAATAAGACATGCAGACAAGAATAGAGAAAAAAGAATGAAAAGGAATGAACAAAGCCTCCAAAAGATATGGAAATTCATAAAACGACCAGACCTATGATTGATCAGAGTACCAGAAAGAGATGGGGACAGTGGAAACAAGCTGGAAGACATACTTCAGGATATTGTCCAGGATATCTTCCCCAGCCTAGCCAGACAGGCCAACATACAAATTCAGGAAACATAGAGAACACCATTAAGATACTCCATGAGAAGTTCAACCCCGAGACACATAATCATCAGATTTTCTAAGGCCAAAATGAAGGAAAAACTGTTAAGGGTAGCCAGACAGAAAGGCCAGGTTACCTACAAAGGGAAGCCCATTAGATTAACAGTGGACTTCTCAGCAGAAACTCTACAATCCAGAAGAGATTGGGGGCCAATATTCAACATTCTTAAAGAAAAGAATTTTCAACCCAGAAGTTTATATCCAGCCAAACTAAGCTTCATAGGTAAAGGATAAATAAAATGCTTTCCAGACAAGCAAAGACTGAGGAATTTTGTTACAACCAGGCCTACCCTGCAAGAGCCCCTAAATATGGAGAGGAAAAACCAATACAGCCCCTGCAAAAACACACCAAAATATAACGACCAATGACACTATGAAGAAATTGCATCAACTAGTGTGCAAAATAAATAAATAGCATCATGATGACAGGAAAAAATTCACACATAATAGTACTAACCTTAAATAAATGGGATAAATGCCCCAATTAAAAAACACAGACTGGCAATTTGGATAAGGAGTCAAGACCCATTGGTGTGCTGAACTCAGGAGACCCATCTCACATACAAAGACACACACAGGCTCAAAATAAAGAGAAGGAGGAAAATTTACCAAGCAAATGGAAACATGAAAAAGCAGGGGTTGCAAACCTAGTCTCTGATAAAACAGACTTTAAACCAACAAAGAACAAAAAAGAGAAAAAAAAGAATTACATAATGGTAAAGGGAACAATTCAGCAAGAAGAGCTAATTATTCTAAATATATATGCACCCAAAAAAGGTGCACCCAGACTCATAAAACAAGTTCTTGGAGGCCTACAAAGAGACTTAGACTCCCACACAATAATAGCCAGAGATGTTAACACCCCACTCTCAGTGTTGGACAGATCAACAAGACAGAAAATTAACAAGTACATTCAGGACTTGAACTCAGCTCTGGATCAACTGGAACTAGAAGACGTTTACAGAACTCTCTACCCCAAATCGACAGAATATACATTTTTCTCAGTGCCACATGGCACTTATTATAAAATCCAACACATAACTGGAAGTAAAATGTTCCTTAGCAAATGCAAAAGAACTGAAATAATAGCAAACAATCTCTCGGACCACAGTACAATCAAATTAGAACTTGGGATTAAGAAACTCACTCAAAACCACACAATTTAATGGAAATTGAACAACTTGCTCCTGAATGGCTCCTGGGTAAATAACGAAATTAAGGCAGAAATCAAGAAGTTATTTGAAACCAATGAGAACAAAGAGACAACCTACCAGAATCTCTGGGACACAGCTAAAGCAGTGTTAAGAGGAAAATTTATAGCACTAAATGCCCACATCAGAATGAAGATCTCAAATCGACACTGTAACATCACAAATAAAAGAGCTAGAGAGGCAAGGGCAAACTAATCCAAAAGCTAGCAGAAGACAAGAAATAACTAAGATCATAGAAGAACTGAAGGAGATAAAGACATGAAAAACCCTTCAAAAATCAATGGATCTAGGTGCTGGTTTTTTGAAAAATTAACAAAATAGATCACTAGATAGACTAATAAAGAAGAAGAAGAGAGAAGAATCAAACAGAGACAATAAAAAATGATAAAGCAGATATCATCACTGACCCCACAGAAATACAAACGACCATCTGAGAATACTATAAACACCTCTAAACAAATAAAATGGAAAATCCAGAAGAAATGGATAAATTCCTGGATGCATACGACCTACCAAGACTAAACCAGGAAAAAGTAGAATCCTTTCATAGACGAATAACAATTCTGAAATTCAGGCAGTAATTAGTAGCCTACCAACCAAAAAAAGCCCAGAACCAGACAGATTCACATCTGAATTCTACCAGAAATACAAAGAGGAGCTGGTACCATTCCATCTGAAACTACCCCAAAAAAATTGAAAAGGAGAGGCTCCTTAATTCATTTTATGAAGCCACCATCATCCTGATAACAAAACCGGGAAGAGACACAACAAAAAAAGAAAACTTCAGGCCAATATCCTTGATGAACATCAATGTGAAATCCTCAGTAAAATACTGGCAAACTGAATCCAGCAGCACATCAAAAAACCTATCCATCAGGATCAAATTGGCTTCATTCCTGGGATAAAAGGATGGTTCAACATATTGAAATCAAACGTAATCCATCACATAAACAGAACCAAAGACAAAAACCACATGATTATCTCTATAGGTGCAGAAAAGGGCCTTCAATCAAATTCAACATTCCTTCATATTAAAAATTCTCGGCTGGGGGTGGTGGCTCACGCCTGTAATCCCAGCACTTTGGGAAGCCGAGGCAGGTGGATCACGAGGTCAGGAGATCAAGACCATCTTGGCTAACATGGTGAAACCCGATCTCTACTAAAAAATACAAAAAATTAGCCAGGCGTGGTGGCGGGTGCCTCTAGTCCCAGCTACTTGGGAGGCTGAGGCAGGAGAATGGCAGGAACCCAGGAGGCGGAGCTTGCAGTGAGCCAAGATCACACCACTGCACTCCAGCCTGGGCAACAGAACGAGACTCCATCTAAAAAAAAAAAAACTCAATGAACTAAGTATTAATGAAACATATCTCAAAATAATAAGAGCTATTTATGACAAACACACAGCCAATATCACATTGAATGGATAAAAGCTGGACGCATTCCTTTTGAAAACCGGTACAAGACAATGATGTCTTCTCTCAATACTCATATTCAATATAGGATTGGAAGTTCTTGCCGGGGCAGTCAGGCAAGAGAAAGAAATAAAGGTATTCAAATAGGAACAGAGGAATTCAAGTTGTCTCTGTTTGCAGATGACATTATTTTATATTTAGAAAACCCCATCATCTCAGTCCAAAACTTATTGAACTGATAAGCAACTTCAGCAAAGTCTCAGGATACAAAACCAATGTGCAAAAATCACAAGAATTCCTTTACACCACCAATAGACAAGGAGAGAGCCAAATCATGAATGAACTCCAATTCACAATAGCTACAAAGAGACTAAAATACTTAGGAACACAGCTAACAAGGGATGTGAAGGGCCTCTTCAAGGAGAACTACAAACCACCACTCAAGGAAATAAGAGAGGACACAAACGAATGGAAAAATATTCCATCCTCATGCAATATTTTGACCATACTGCCCAAAGTAATTTACAGATTAAATGCTATTCCCATCAAACTACCATTGACATTCTTCACAGAATTAGAAAAGACTATTTTAAATTTCTATTTTTTTAATTTTAAGTTCTGGGATACATATGCAGAACGTACAGGTTTGTTACATAGGTATACATGTGCCATGGTGGTTTGCTACACCCATCAACCTGTCATCTAGGTTTTAAGCTCCGTATGCATTAGTTATTTGTCCTAATGCTCTCCCTCCCCTTGGCCCCCACCCCCTGACAGGCCCTGGTGTGTGATGTTCAACTCCTTGTGTCCATTTGTTCTCTTTGTTCCACTCTCACTTATGAGTGAGAACAGGCAGTGTTTGATTTTCTGTCCCTGTGTTAGTTTGCTGAGAATGATGGTTTCCAGCTTCATCCATGTCCCTGCAAAGGACATGAACTCATTCTTTTTATGACTGTATAGTATTCCATGGTGTATATGTGACAAATTTTCTTTATCCAGTCTATCATCGATGGTCATTTGGGTTGGTTCCAAGTCTTTGCTATTGTAAATAGTGCTGCAGTAAACATACATATGTATGTGTCTTTATAGTAGAATGATTTATAATTTATTGAGTAGGTACCCAGTAAAGAGATTGCTGGGTCAAATGGTATTTCTGGTTCTAGATCCTTAAGGAATCACCACACTGTCTACCACAATGGTTAAACTAATTTACACTTTCACCAACAGAGTAAAAGCGTTCCTATTTCTCCAAATTTTCTCCAGCATCCATTGTTTCCTGACTTTGTAATGATCGCCATTCTAATAGGCATGAGATGGTATCTAATTGTGGTTTTGATTTGCATTTCTCTAATGATCAGTAATGATGAGCTTTTTTCATACGTTTACTGGCCGCATAAATGCCTTCTTTTGAGAAGTGTCTGTTCATACCCTTCACCCACTTTTTGATGAGGTTGTCTTTTTCTTGTACATTTGTTGAAGTTCCTTGTAGATTCTGGATAGTACACCATTGTCAGATGGATTGCAAAAATATTCTCCCATTCTGTAAGTTGCCAATTGACTCTGACGATAGTTTCTTTTGCTGTGCAGAAGCTCTTCAGTTTAATTAAATCCCATTTGTAAATTTTGGCTTTTGTTGCAATTGCTTTTGAAGTTTTAATCATGAAGTCTTTTCTCATGCCTATGTCCTGAATGGTATTGCCTAGGTTTTCTTCCAGGGTTTTTATGGCTCTAGGTTTTATGTTTAAGTCTTTAATCCATCTTGAGTTCATTTTTGTATAATGTGTAAGGAAGGGGCCAGTTTCTGTTTCTGCATATGGCTAGCCAATTTTCCCAGCATCATTTATTAAATAGGTAACCCTTTCCCCATTGCTTGTTTTTGTCAGGTTTGTCAAATATCAAATGGTTGTAGATGTGTGGTGTTATTTCTGAGGCCTCTGCTCTGCTCCATTAGTCTTTATATCTAATTAGTGCCAGTACCATGCCTTTTTGGTTATTGTAGTCTGGTAGTATTGTTTGAAATCAGGTAGCATGATGCCTCCAGCTTTGTTAATTTTGCTTAGAATTGTCTTGGCTATACGGGCTCTTTTTTTGGTTCCATATGAAATTTAAAATAGTTTTTCTAATTGTGTGAAGAAAGTCAACAGTAGATTCATGGGAATAGCATTGAATCTATAAATTACTTTGGGTGGCATGGCCATTTTCACATTATCCGTTCTTCCTATCCATGAGCATGGAATGTTTTTTCATTTGTTTGTGTCCTCTCTTATTTCCTTGTGCAGTGGTTTGTAGTTTTCTTTGAACAGGTCCTTCACTTTTTTTATAAGTTGTATTCCTACGTACTTTATTCTCTTTGTAGCAATTGTGAATGGGAGCTCACTCGTGATTTGGCCCTCTGTTTGTCTAATATTGATGTATAGGAATGCTCGTGATTTTTGCACATTGGTTTTGTATCCTGAGACTTTGCTGAAGTTGCTTATCAGCTTAAGAAGTTTTTGGAGTGAGATGGTGGGTTTTCCTAAATATACAATCATGTCATTTGCAAACAGAGATAATTTGACTTCTCTCTTTCTATTTCAATATGCTTTATTTCTTTATCTTGCCTAATTGCCCTGGACAGTACTTCCAATACTATGTTGAACAGGAATGGTGAGAGAGGGCATCATTGTCTTGTGCCAGATTTCACAGGGAATGCTTCCAGGTTTTGCCCACTCAGTATGATATTGGCTATGTGTTTGTCATAAATAGCTTCCATTTTCTGCTACCTTTTGAATTTGGTTGCTCTTGAATCTCTAGTTCTTTTCATTGTGTTGCTAGGTTGATGAATTTAGATTTTTCTAGCTTTCTGTTGAGAGCATGAAGTGCTACAAATTTCCTTCTTAACACTGCTTTAGCTGTGTCCCAGAGATTCTGGCATGTTGTCTCTTGGTTCTCATTGGTTTCAAAGAAGTTCTTTATTTCTGTTTTAATTTCGTTAGTTACTGAGTAGTCATTCAGGAGCACGTTGTTCAATTTCCATGTAGTTGTGCAGTTTTGAGTGAGTTTCTTAATCTTGAGTTCTAATTTGATTGCACTGTGGTCTCAGAAACTGTTTGTTATGATTTCCGTTCTTTTGCATTTGCTGAGGAGCATTTTACTTCCAATTATGTGGTCAATTTTAGAATAAGTGTGATGTGGTGCTTAGAAGAATGTATATTCTGTTGATTTGGGGTGGCAAGTTCTGTAGATCTCTATTAGGTCCGCTTGGTCCAGAGCTGAGTTAAAGACCTGAATATCTTTGCTAATTTTCTGTTTCGTTGATCTGTCTAATATTGACAGTAGAGTGTTACAGTCTCCAACAATTATTGTGTGGGAATCTAAATCTCTTTGTAGGTCTCCAAGAACTTTTTTTATGAATCTGGGTGCTCCTGTATTGGGTGCATATATATGTAGAATAGTTAGCTCTTCTTATTGCATTGATTCTTTAACCATCATGTAATGCCCTTCTTTGTCTTCTTTTATCTTTGTTGGTTTAAAATCTGTTTTGTCAGAGATTAGGATTGCAACCCCTGCTTTTTTCTGCTTTCCATTTGCTCGGTAAATATTCTTCAATCCCTTTCTTTTGAGCCTATGTACGTGAGATTGGTCTCCTGAATACAGTACACCGATGGGTCTTGACTCTTTATCCAATTTGCCAGTCTGTATCTTTTAATTGGGGCATTTAGCTCATTTACATTTAAGGCTAATATTGTTATGCGTGAATTTTCTCCTGTCTTCATGATAATAACAGGTTATTTTGCATATTAGTTGATGTAGTCTCTTCATAGTGTCATTGGTCTTTTTATTTTGGTGTGTTTTTGCAGTTGCTGGCACTGGTTTTTTCTTTCCATATTTAGTGCTTCCTTCAGGAGCTCTTGTAAGGCAGGCCTGATGGTGACAAAATCCCTCAGCGTTTGATTGTCTGTAGAGGATTTTATTTCTCCTTCTCTTATTGTGTCCGGAATTGGTGGGTTCTTGGTCTCACTGACTTCAAGTATGAAGCCGTGGACCGTCGCGGTGAGTGTTACAGTTCTTAAAGGCGGCATGTCTGGAGTTTGTTCCTTCTGATGTTCGGATGCGTTCGGAGTTTCTTCCTTCTGGTGGGGTTCGTGGTCTCACCGGCTCAGGAGTGAAGCTGCAGACCTTCGCGGTGAGTGTTACAGCTCTTAAGGTGGTGCATCTGGAGCTGTTCTTTCCTCCCGGTGGGTTCGTGGTCTCACTGGCTTTAGGAGTGAAGTTGCAGACCTTCGCAGTGAGTGTTACAGCTCATAAAGGCAGTGTGGGCCCAAAGATTGAGTAGCAGCAAGATTTATTGCAAACAGAGAAAGAACAAAGCTTCCACAGTGTGGAAGGGGACCCGAGCAGGTTGCCACTGCTGGCTCGGGCAGCCTGCTTTTATTCTCTTATCTGGCCCCACCCACATCCTGCTGATTGGTAGAGCCGAGTGGTCTGTTTTGACAGGGTGCTGATTGGTGCATTTACAATCCCTGAGCTTGACACAAAGGTTCTCCACCTCCCCACCAGATTAGCTAGATACAGAGTGTCGACAAAAAGGTTCTCCAAGGCCCCACCAGAGTAGCTAGATACAGAGTGTCGATCGGTGCATTCACAAACCCTGAGCTAGTCACAGGGTGCTGATTGGTGTGTTTACAAACCTTGAGCTAGATACAGAGTGCCGATTGGTGTATTTACAATCCCTGAGCTAGACATAAGTGTTCTCCATGTCATCACCAGAGTAGCTAGATACAGAGTGTCAATTGGTGCTTTCACAAACCCTGAGCTAGACACAGGGTGCTGATTGGTGTGTTTACAAACCTTGAGCTAGATACAGAGTGCTGATTGGTGTATTTACAATCCCTGAGCTAGACATAAAGGTTCTCCATGTCCCCACCAGACTCAGGAGCCCAGCTGGCTTCACCCAGTGGATCCCGCACTGGGGCTGCAGGTGGAACTGCCTGCCAGTCTTGTGCCATGCACCCGCACTCCTCAGACCTTGGGTTGTGGATGGGACTGGGTGCTGTGGAGCAGGGGG
The DNA here is from genome assembly GCF_000001405.40 of Homo sapiens. Lineage (NCBI taxonomy): Eukaryota > Metazoa > Chordata > Mammalia > Primates > Hominidae > Homo > Homo sapiens. The sequence goes on from NC_000023.11 coordinate 76,996,711, forward strand.
TGGTGCTCATCGGGGAGGCTCAGGCCACACAGGAGCCCACAGAGGGAGTGGGAGACTCAGGCATGGCAGGCTGCAGGTCCTGAGCCCTGCCCCGCGGGAAGGCAACTAAGGCCCGCCAAGAAATCGAGCGCAGTTCCAGTGGGCTGGCACTGCTGGGGGACCCAGTACACCCTCTGAAGCTGCTGGCCTGGGTGCTAAGCCCCTCATTGCCTGGGGCTGCTCTGAGTGTGGGGTCTGCCAAACCCACACCCACCCAGAATTCCAGCTGGCCCACAAGCACCATGCGCAGCCCCAGTTCCCACTCGTGCCTCTCCCTTCACACCTCCCTGCAAGCTGAGGGAGCTGGCTCTGGCCTTGGCCAGCCCAGAAAGGGGCTCCCACACTGCAGTGGTGGGCTGAAGGGCTCCTCAAGTGCCACCAAAGTGGGAGCCCAGGCAGAGGAGGCACCAAGAGTGAGTGAGGGCTATGAGGACTGCCAGCACGCTGTCACCTCTCATTATGAAGCTTAGTTTGGCTGGATATGAAATCTTGGTTGAAAATTCTTTTCCTTAAGAATGTTGAATATTGGCTCCCACTCTCTTCTAGCTTGTAGGGTTTCTGCAGAGAGATCTGCTGTTAGTCTGTTGCGCTTCCCTTTGTAGATAATCTGACCTTTCTCTCTGGCTGCCCTTAACATTTTTTCCTTTGTTTTAACCTTGGAGAATCTGACTATTATGTGTCTTGGGGTTGCTATTCTTGAAAAGTATCTTAGTGGTGTTCTCTGTATTTCCTGAATTTGACTGTTTGCCTGTCTTGCTAAGTTGGGGAACTTCTGTTGGATAATATCCTGAAGTATATTTTCCAACTTGGTTTCATTCTCCCCGTCACTTTCAGGTACACCAATCAATTGTTAGTTTGGTCTTTTCACACCATCTCATATTTCTTGAAGGCTTTGTTCATTCCATTTCATTCTTTTTTCTCTAATCTTGTCTTCACACTTTAAATTGTTAAGTTGATCTTCAATCTCTGATATCCTTTCTTCCACTTGATTGATTCAGCTATTGATATTTGTGTATGCTTCATGAAGTTCTCATGCTGTGTTTTTCAGCTCCATCAGGTCATTTATGTTCTTCTCTAAACTGGTTATTCTAGCTAGCAGTTCCTACAGGAAACTTTTTCTCAAAAAGGTTACAAGAACCTTTTTATCAAGGTTCTTACCTTCCTTGAATTGTGTTAAAACATGCTACTTTAGCTCAGAGGAGTTTGTTATTACCCACCTTCTGAAGCCTACTTCTGTCAATTCATCAAACTCATTCTCCATCCAGTTTTGTGTCCTTGCTGGAGAGGAGTTGCAATCATTTGAAGGAGAAGAGGCATTCTGGTTTGGGGAATTTTCAGCATTTTTGTGCTGGTTTTTCCTCAGCTTCATGAGTTTATCTACCTTTGATCTTTGATGCTAATGTTCCTTGGATGGGGTTTTTGTATGGGGGTCCTTTTTGTTGATGTTGATGTTATTGCTTTCTGTTTGTTAGTTTTCCTTCTAACAGTCAGGCCCCTATTCTGCTGGAGTTTGCTGGAGGTCCACTCCAGACCCTGTTTGCTTGGCTATCACCAGCAGGGGCTGCAGAACAGCAAAGATTACTGCCTCCTCTTTCTTCTAGAAGCTTCCTCCCAGAGAAGCGCCTGCCCAATGCCAGCCAGAGCTCTTCTGTATGAGGTGTCTGTCAACTCTTGCTGGGAGATGTCTTCCAGTCAGGAGGCACAGGGGTCAGGGATCCACTTGAGGAGGGAGTATGTCCCTTAGCAGAGGTCATGCGTTGCACTGAGAGATCCACTGTTCTCCTCAGAGCCCGCAGGCAGGAATGTTTAAGTCTGCTGAAGCTGTGCCCACAGCCGCACCTTCCCCTAGTTACTCTGTCCCAGGGAGATGGGAGTTTTATCTATAAGCCCCTGACTGGGGCTGTTGCCTTTCTTTCAGAGATGCCTTGCCCAGTGAGGAGGACTCTAGAGAGGCAGTCTGTCCATGGCCCCTTTGCTGCACTGTGGTGAGATCCACCTGGTCCGAACTTCCCAGCCTTCTTAACACTGTTGGGGGATAATCGCCTACTCAAGCCTCAGTAATGGTGGACGCCCCTCCCTCCACTAAGAGTGATTACCCCAGGTCAAGTTCAGACTGCTGTGCTGGCAGAGAGAATTTCAAGTCAGTGGTTCTTAGCTTGCTAGGCTCTGTGGGAGTGGGACCTCCTGAGCAAGACCACTTGGCTCCCTGGTTTCAGCCCCCTTTCCAGGGGAGTGAATGGTTCTGTCTCACTGGGGTTCCAAGTGCCACTGGGGGAAAAACAAAACAAAAAAAACTCCTGCAGCTAGCTCAGTGTCTGCCCAAACAGTCACCCAGTTTTGTGCTTGAAACCCAGGGCCCTGGTGGTGTAGGCACATGAGGGGATCTTCTGGTCTGTGGGTTGCAAAAACCATGGGAAAAGTATAGTATCTCAACCAGACAGCACAGTCCCTCACACTTCCCTTGGCTTGGGGAGTGAGGTCCATGGACCCTTGAATTTCCCAGGTGAAATAATGCCCCACCCTACTTCTGCTTACCCTGTGTGGACTGCACCCACTACCTAACCAGTTCCAATGAGATGAACCGGGTACCTCAGTTGGAGATACAGAAATCACCTCCTTCTGCATTGGTCTCGCTGGGAGATGCAGACTGGAGTTGTCCTATTCGGCCTTCTTGCCAGATCTCCCTTAAATTTCATACGGAATCTAAGAAGTCCCCATAGAGCCAAGACAATCCTAAGAAGAACAAAAAAACAAAGCTGGAGGCATCACACTACCTGACTTCAAACTATACTATAAGTCTACAGTAACCAAAACAGCATGGTACTGGTACCAAAACAGACATATAGACCAATGGAACAGAACAGAGATCCCAGAAATAACACCACACTTCTAAAGCCATCTGATCTTTGACAAACATGACAAAAACAAGCAATGAGGAAAGAATCTCCTATTCAGTAAATGGTGCTGGGAAAACTGGCTAGCCATATTCAGAAAACAGAAACTGGACCCCTTCCTTACACCTTATAGAAAAATTAACTCAAGATGAATTAAAGACTTAAATGTAAAACCCAAAACCATAAAAACCCTAGAAGAAAATCTAGGCAATACCATACAGGGCATGCCAAAAGCAATGGCAACAAAAGTCAAAATTGAAAAATGGGACAAATGGGATCTAATTAAAGAGCTTCTGCACAGCAAAGGAAACTAGCATCACAGCCGAAAAACATGAACAAAAAAGCTTAACATCACTGATCATCAGAGAAATGCAAATCAAAATCACAATGATATACCATCTCAGCTAGTTAGAATGGCGATTATTAAAAAGTTAGGAAACGAGATGCTGGCGAGGCTGTGGAGAAAAAGGAACACTTTTACACTGTTGGTGGGAATGTAAATTAGTTCAACTATTGTGGAAGACAGTGGGGCAATTCCTCAAGGATCTAGAACCAGAAATATTATTTGACCCAGCAATCCCATTACTGGGCATATACCCAAAGGAATGTAAATCATTCTACTATAAAGACACATAGACATGTATGTATATTGCAGCACTATTTACAATAGCAAAGACATGGAACCAACCCAAATGCACATCAATGTTAGAATGGATAAAGAAAATGTGGTACATACACACCATGGAATACTATGCAGCCATAAAAAAGAATGAGATCATGCCCTTTGCAGGAACATGGATCTTGCTGGAAGCCATCATCCTTAGCAAACTAACACAGGAAAAGAAAACCAAATAATGCATGTTCTCACTCATAAATGGGAGTTGAACATGGAGGACACATGGTCACAGAGAGGGGAATAACACACACCAAGGCCTGTTAGGAGGTGGGGGGCGAGGGGAGGGATCTTAGAGGATGGGTCAATAGGTGCAGCAAACCACCGTGGCATACATATACCTATTTAATAAACCTGCACATTCTGCATATGTATCCCAATTTTTAGAAGAATTTTTTTTTAAAAATTACTTTCTCTGGTTATGACTGAAGAAGTGTCCTACAAAGTGGACATATGTGTGTGCACTCATCCACAAGCTTTTTGCCTCAAAGCTCAGAGATCTACTGAGAACCATGAGTAAGAAGTGATTGGGGGCCTAGAGACCTTGGGGAGGGAGACTTTGTCAGAAGTGAAATTTTCTTATAGATAGAAAGCAGCAGGGAGACACCAGAAGCTTCACAACTTGGATGGCTTATTTGAAGGCCCCATTCTGTCCTCACTCTCTTCTTGTTTTCTCTCTGTCCATGTATGTTTTCTGGAAAGTTGACATTCCAAACCTAATCCCATGTGCAGCCAGGCTGGCAAGTAAAGCTGAGTTGCCAATTACTTTGCTTTTTTTGGACTCCACTTTCCCTGAGTGGCAATGAAAATAATAATCCTACAGCCTTTCCTGACAAGTTCTGCAGGTAAGAGCTTGTTTTAGGTATAATCCTTCATGGGAGCTAAGGGCAGAGGAAAGAAGAATGGGGTCAATTAAATAACCTCTAGAGCATCTTTCTGATTATGTGACTCAGTCATCTGTGGGCTTTTGCCATTGCTGTCAATTAAGGTTGACACCAAGGCCAAGCAGACTTTATGAGCTAGGACATAGCTGGATCACCCTTAGGACTAAGAAGAGGAGAAGACATCATTCCAGATCCTACCAGAGCCCTCTACTTCTCCCTTTTGTTGTCATGTCATCTGTTTAGAAGAGAAGCCTGAGACAATTTTATGTGGGGGGCGGGGGTCGGGGAAGGGTGTACGTGCATGCGTGCGTGTGTTCCAACTTTCCAAGCAAGGGATCTCTTCTAACCTAGCCTAAGTTGGAATAGTGCTACAGGTCCAGGACCTTAGCCTTAGAGAGCAGAGCTATTCTTCCTGTCTCTTACTTCCCACTATGTAGCACTCAATGTTTGATATTGGTACTGGAGACCATGTGACTTTATCTTCCTTAAATATGGTATTAATTTTCACCCAGAAAAATAAAGCGATTAATGGAAATCGGGCACTTAAGATAATAAAAGGGAGTGTTTTGCCTTAGGGCAAAGCATAAGGATTTAATTTTCCCAGAATTCTCAATCTGATTCTGAGGCCAGCAACAACTAGTTTTGGGGCAGTACAAATACATAAGATGAAATCCCCAACCAGGGACCTGGAGCCAGAAGAACCCACAAGGGCTTCAAATGGCCCAGGTGTTGGAGGCCTTTTTAACAATGTGGCTGTAATCTACACAGTAACCAGACCAAGCAAGCCTGCTTTAGCAGATAACCTCAAAAGTGCAAAGATAATATTGAGATGTGGAGGAATATCAAGGGAGGCTCCACAAGAAGGATGGAGTTTTGTTTTTTTGATCTATTCCTTACTTAGGGCAGGGGAAGAACAGCTGTTTACAAGGGTGGATGGATGTGAGGGACACTATGAAGGCTTCCACCTGAACATCAGCCTCTTTGAGACTAGACATTTCACTGTTAATGTTAACAATCCATTTCTTTGGTTTAAGGTGTGTGAATTCCCAGGGCTGTCCCTGGAAAAAGAAGTATATTCAACCCTTGACAATAAATCATAAGGAAGGTAGAGGAGAACCAATAGAGGGAGGTTTGCCTTTGGAATGTGAAATAGTTCCTTCAAGTGAACCAGAGATTATAGAGCAGGAGGTGACCTTAGAGATTTTTTAATTCACCTTGAAACTTAACTATAATAAACGGTTCCCTCAGACAAACAGAAATGAGAGGAAGAGTTTGAGCTGGGAATAGAGAGAGGCTCTGGACTGTGTGGGAAAGTTGAACCAGGAAAATAATTTCACTGTTAGGAGGACTGGCACATGACCTTGAAGGGAAGATGCAAGATGGTATTGGCAAAGATGAAGGAGCACAGGCAAAACTAAGCCAGTGCATGTAGCATAAGTGTGTCTAATATTAAAACAGAATTTGCAATGAATTCCAAGGGTACAGAAAATTCTTTTGAAAGGCCAGACTTCTACTTGATGGTTTTCTTTGCTTTAAGTCGCTCGGGCTAATTGGAATGGAATGTTTCAGTTAAGCAAACACTCACTAGAATTCAAACCTGGTTATAACCTCCATTCAAATAAAAATAGATAGAAATGGCTGCAAAAGTCTCTCTGTTTCTCTATTTGGAATATAAAGTATAGAATGTACACTATTGAGGTTTGTTATGGACATATTCACGATGTTATACTATTTGGAATATAAAATTGAGAATGTACACTTTTGAGGTTTGTTATGGGCTTATTTGGAATGTTACAGGATGCAATATGACTTCCCAGAAAACATGGCAAAAATTGCAGCAGCAAGCTTCGCTCCTGCTAAGTTTCTTTCCTCTATCCAAAGTCCTGTCATAAGTATAGGAGTGAGACAGGGGAAAATGGGAAGATGAGGAAATGGAGTTTTCAAAAGATTATTTGGAAATTTATTCTTTTTTAACATTTGTTTGGAGGTTTTTGTTTTGTTTTAGATTTTGAAAGGGAAATGCATGCACATGGTAAACAATTCTAACATATTCAAAAGGCTATATACAGTTTGAAAGTCAGTTAACTTTGCTAGAAGAAAACACTGTTAAAAGTTCCTTGTGTTACTTTGTGATACCAGAGATAATCTAATCTACATTTAGAAACACACACACACCATAATTATAATTTTGGATCTTATAAAACCTTTGTGAAGGCTTCTCTGTCTGTCAGGTTTACTTCAGAACAACACCAGATTCCCGTGGCATGGTCTTTACCATGTGACCAAAATCATCTTCAAAGATTCAGCCAGGCCACTGGCCTCTACCTCTATGTTACATACTCAGAAGCCAAGCCATAGTAGGTAGGGGTAAGTAGGAGGGGATCCTGGGAATTGTAACAAAGTATCGTTCTCTTAGGAAAATTAGGATATTAGTACCTACCTCACAGGATTATTTTAAGCACTGAAAGAAATAATATGAATAAAGTGCTTAAAACAGTGCCTGGCATAGAGTAAGTGCTACATAAGTTTCAGCTGTTGTCATCATCACTATTATTGTTGCTATTGTGAAAGAGGACAGCTTAGGGCTTCCTGAAGCTATTCCCTATTTTCTCTGGGTTTTCTTCACAGGTACCTCCAAAGATGGGAGTTGCTGTCACTACTCTTCTTCTAGAATATTTTCCCCACCAAGATCTAAACTGTGGAGCCAGTTGGTAGCCAAAATTGTACCTCAAAAGCTCTCCTAGACACATGGAAAACTTGGCTTCTCTGCCTGATGTTCATCTCAAAGCATCAGTGATAAACTGTTTCATATGTTATTACTCACTACTATTCTTGTAAAGACCATGGAAATACATGGACAGACCGCCAGCTCACCACACTTTCTGCAGAATTACTCAGCCCAGACGTGTTGTTTTCATCTCCTTTGTGTGATTCAGTTCCTCTTCATTCCTACACCTCTCACCACTTCTGAGGAGTTACATGTTTCCAGCTAGCCGCAGACATTGAACTGCCTTATCTTGCTGGCTACATCTGCATGCAGCTGGTACCACTAGGACAGGCTGAACTACACATTCACAGATTAAACTCCCTAAGCAGCCTGAGTCTGCCATCTCATTCCCTTTGAAGCTCTTAGAGAAGGGGAAGCCAAGTTCACAGATATGCAGCACACCTTCTCTCACCTGTCTCTTTATTTGGGAGGGTGGGTGAATGACAACTAAGACAACTAGCATTTCCCTACCAAAGAGTCTCATCACTGACATCTCTTTACTTCCTGGTTTCTCACAAACATAAATTGAACATTCGACTTCTGGTACAAATCTTTGTACCATCACAGAGGGGCTTCCATGGGGATTAACCATAAAGCCTCACTTGCTTGACTCAATTCCAGTGACTTTTTCTACACTTCATTTATCCACATCCATGGCCCATGCAGGGTCTTTTCATCATCCAGAACAGCTCTACTTCTGAAATCTTAAATTCGTATACCCTACTCTTCAGCTACTTTTATTTTCCAGTGAGGGCTTTTACTTCCTTGCCCATACTACTCCTATTCTATGGGCTCCTGGTTTCTGTCAGTTTATCAGTCCATCCTAATTATTTTTTCTGACTTGCCTAGGCTCTATAATCTATTATTGCAACCATTTTCTTTTCTCTAGTTTTAACCACATTTTGACCTGGTACCACCTGAAAATTTATGGTTTCCTTCTTCAGGAGAGTTATTGGCACCACATGATAACTTCTTCAGGAGTTCCTGGCCAACTTTCTCTTCCATCTCTTCCTATATATTCAGACATCTCTTTTCATCAATCACTGTCCTAACTTCGAATCTTCACTCCTTCCCTCTCCAATGGTTCTTTGTCCTCTGCACAACAATATGCTGAAACCTCCCATCATTTAAGAAACAGTCCCTCCACCTTATCTCTTTCTCTGTTTGTTGCCCTGTCTCTCCTTTTCTTTCTAACCAAGCTTTTTAAAAGCAGTTTAAGAACAGTTTAAAAACTTTTAAAGAACCATTTACATTCACCATCTTCACTTACTCTTTTCCTTTTCACCCCTCAACACACTGAAATCTGGTTCTGTTTCTGGGGTAGATCCTCTCCTACCCGTTTGTACCTTTGTCAAAATATTAATCACTCTACTGTAACCACCACTAGGCCTAAGTACCTCAAAATGTAGGATGTTGAATAACTTATCTATGTAGTCCCAGAGCCTAGCACAGTGCTTGATTGATAGGAGGTCCTCAATAAACAAATTATGTCACAAACACTTACTGGACACCTACTAGGAACCAAGCACTGTATTGGTTCTGTGGACTTGAATCCATCTCAAAACCTATATTTAAGCAACTTTTTCTCACAGAACCTTTCTTTCCTTTGTGAATGTCAAGTCAGTATATTTAATTAAGCCATACAATCCCTGTCCCGTGCCGTGACTTTACTCATAATGGTCATTCAACATTTGTTGAATGATTGCTTGATAGAACTCAGCAGACCCAAAAGGACTAATTGTGAAGAGTTGCTGTAGGAAATGGCCAGAGAGAGGCCTGTTCTGAAATCTGGTTCCTTACAGAGAGCTTTTCAGGCTTTCAGAACCATTTCTGAGCAGTTCTCTAGAAATACATTCATTTGCAACTCTATCCCAACATGGCTGATAGGTTTTGGTAAACCCGTTTACAACCTCTCCATTTCCTTTGTCTTCAACTTCTCTCCCCTCTCTCCAGTCTTTCCCCCTACACCTATTAGACAGGTGCAAATATCTCTCCTAGTCACAAATAAGGAAAGACCTAAATTAGAAAACCTCCCTGGACTCCAAGGTTTCACATTACCTAATATCCTTCCTTTCTCCACTAATCTTCTGCAAGAATAGTCTGAACTTTCTAGTCCCATTTCCTTCTTCCCATTCATTCCCACACCAAATAGTCAGAAAGGCTAGGATATGAATTAGAATGGTCAGGGAAGGGTTTCATGGACAAGTAAGGGCACAGGATGCAGAAGAATTTTGTGATTAAAGTGCAGAATATGGAAATGTATTGGAGAGGTATTAGGTTTTTCTATTTTATTTTTCATCTGCTTTATAATATTCTTTTTTTTAAGTAGGTAACACATGTATATGATACATAGTTCAAAAAATGCAAAATGAAAGTAAGGGTTCTTCCCAATCCCACCAAGTTCCCTTTTCTAGAGGCAATCACTGTTAAAAGTTTCTTATGTATCCTCCCAAAGATGCATTTGTAAATATTTACATATATGGAGTGCCTATACAATATGGTAGAGCACAATAAGAAGGGCAGTGTGAACTGACAAGCACAGAAGAGGCTTTGAAGAATTAGGGAATATCATCTTCCCTCCAACATACTCTTCCTCTTAAGTCCCCACCTCCATTAATAGCCTTTCCATCCTCCCAAGATGACCCAGGCTCAAAGCCTCTGAACATTGGCAGGAAATCTGTTACTAACCAGAGTTTAGTTTTCTAAAATGGTTTTCTGTACATCACAATTAAGCCAATTAACATTCCCTCCACACCTGCCACTGCTATTTTCAATTTTGTTTTGAAAATATAAGTCACATACATCTACTCCTCACCACTTTCACTACCCCAGCCTCCATTAGGCCCTCGTGACTTCTTATCTTCAAAATTGAAGTAACTGCCTTCTTCATATGGTTGTTAGGTACATTTGGTAAAATTAAATAAGCATGGTAACAATTAGCAGGCTCAACAAATATTTGTTCCTTTCTCTTCTCCCCAATACCTCCCAGCCACTATACCACCCCACCACCCCATCAACCTTAATCCACTCCCCATATTACATACTTGGTTTATCAAAACAACGTCGAATTCTTGAAATTTTTCTATATCTATCCTATATTGATCCCAAGATCAGAGCTTCAGAATATGAAAACTTACCTGAACTCTGAGGAAAGGCACTAGAAAATTCCAAATACAGCTGTCCCAAAGGAAAACCACTCTTAGTACCTCTCAAAGGCATTGCCTTTATAGTCTAGGGTAGTATCATTGACATGTAGAAACTAAAAAGGTTATGATCTAACCTATATTTTTCCCCTAGAAAAACCTTACCTATTCTTCAGGACTCCGTTTGAATTCCACCTTCTTCTTGAAGTCTTCCAGGATTCTGCCCATGTTAACTCTTTTCACCCAAGTCTTAATGAATCTTACCTTTCTCTGCATTACAAAATGTGGAGGGAAGGGAGGGAGGAGAGGGGAGACAAAGGAAGACATGGGATGGGGAGTGAGAGAGTGACACCCAAATCCTCGTTCTGACAAAACCCATTGTCCCACCTCCTAAAATATGCCTAATTGAGTAAGGTTAAAGTGATGGTTACCAAACAGCAGGTAAGGGTATCCCCTAGACCCCCTAGTTTCTGGTTAACAATTAAGGACATATAAAATAAAATATACTTTAATCTTGAATAAACTTATTTATTTTCAGGTTAATTTACTTTTGTATAAATGATTTTGGCATATTTTAATTTTTATTATCTATATCATAATCTGATTCATTTCAATTAAATCATGAACATTTTCCCATGTCATTAACTTTTCTTTAAAATATTTTTTAATAGTTTTGTAAGTCTCTCATCTTGTTTCCATCCGTAATATATTTGTTCCCCTATTTTGGGGCATTTTTCTTTTTATTCCCATTTTTGTTTTTACAAATAATGTTATTTGAAGGTATGTAAATCTTTACCTGAATCTCTATTTATCTGAATCTTTATGTTTAGACATGTTGATAGATAACATCAAACTACTTCCAAAAATGATGTACCAATCTAATCCA